>NT_187553.1:0-271782 GCF_000001405.40 Homo sapiens | reverse complement strand
GATCTGTGTGCTCTTATCACCAATCAGTTCAGACCTGGTTGATTTTGTACTTTGGAACTGTACCTTGGATGGTTTTGTTTATTAAAAGAGAAACCTGAAGTACTCATTTTGCTATAACTTGTCTTCTCTAAGCAGGACAGATATAGGAAGTAGAATTTCTTTTAATTTTCTTCATTTTTCCCACCCTTTTCTATTTTTCTGAGATTTTTTTTTTTTTTTTTTTTTTTTTTTTGCATTTTAAGTAATGAAAACAGGTCATGTTAATTTTCCCTTACACTAATGAGGTAGGAATTTCTCTGTAAAAGTTGACCTTTTGAGCAAACTTATCTTATGAAGAGGGCTCTGGTGTTTACGCAGCCAGCTTGCCTGAAGGGACCTTTAAACCATCCAGAAGGGAGAGTATTTACTAGGGTTTTATTAAGACTCTAATGGTTATAAATGAAATATCTTAAGATTTTTCACTTCTGGGACTGTTAAGCCATCTGGAATAGCTATTTTGGAGAAAAATCTTCAACCAAAATAAAACTGTAAAAAAAAAAAAATAGGCCTTTATACAAGCTGTAGCCAGAAATCTGGGATAATTTTTACAAGCACTTTAGTAATGTTATAATTGAGACCTAAGTTTTGATAGAGCCAAAATTTTTTAGATCTATTAAATACATTTTAACTCCATTATAATATTTGAGTAATTTTCTTGTTATTGAACAAGTCAAATTATATGTAACATGGGAGTTATTGTATGCTTTGTACCAGAACAACCTGTGGTATAAATGGAATTTTACTAAGTTAGTGGTTAATCTTAGATACCACTTTTGTTTATTTTGCCTTTTATAAATAATTCAAATTATCGAAAGCTGCTAGTAGATACACATTGTAAACATTTATTGCACAAACATCAATACTGTCACTCACTATCCCAGGCATTGGGGACACAGTGGTAACACCTGGTTCATCTCTTAACAGTGTCTGTATGAGGATTCTCCAAAGACTCAGAACCAATAGGATATGTTTGTATATAGAGAGAGATGAGAAAGGGTTTATTAAAGAAATTGGCTCACTCAGTTATTGAGACTGAGAATTCCCATGCCTGGCTGTCTGCAAGCTGGGGAGCCAGAGAAACTGGCAGCATGGCTCAGTCCAAGTCTGAAGGCCTCACAACCAGGGAAGCTGATGGTATAACCCTTGAAGTCCTGAAAATAAGGAGTTGGGTGTGAGGGGTTGCTAATCAAGTCCCTGGCTCGAGGAGAAAGACAGTGAATTATTTGCCTTTGCCTTTTGGTTCTATCTGGGCTCCATTCAGTTGGATGGTGCCTGCTCACACAGGCTGATCTGCACTCAGTCCACAAACTCCTAGGCCAGTCTCCGGAAACATCCTCACAGACAAACCCAGAAGTAATGCTTTACCTGCTGTCTTGATATCCTTTAATCCAGTCAAGTTGACACCTAAAATTAACTATCCCAATGTCCCAACTAAAAACTGTAGAGTATCCCAATTTCAAATCTACATTTTTTCTTCTTTATATACACTAGGTATATTCTTATTCTAAAGGATTTCCCATTTTGGAATTTTCTGTTTATATAAAGTTGTGTATCTAGGATTTTCTATAAGGTTCTCACCTCCCAAGGTGTATAGGGAAGTTCTACAAATTGAGTAATGATTGATGGCACATAATTAGTGTTCCATGATGTTTTTTTACAACCTTCAGCTAACATTGTTTTAATCCAGTATTGCTGTAGACTTTGAACATGGTCTTAGTTTTGGAGTGAACACGACTTAGTCCAGAATGTGTTTGGCATATGGCTCCTAGAGCTAACCTGGCTACTAGTTATTTGGGTAGTTTTATAGATCATTCAGGCACATTCCTTGTGTGAAAAGAAAACCTTTGATAAACATTAGAAGTATGATTCATTCTTAAGAGTTAGGCTTGAAGATTCCAGTGAGAAGCTGCTGATGTAGAGACTTTCTCTTCATTACTGCCTGCAAGGGGATTGGAAGTATCTGGTAATATTACAAGTGATTGATGGAAAACTGCTTGAGAGGTTGGCCATGACTCCATTTATACACACAGAATGCACGTAGATGTTTGGATTTGTCTTAATTATCCGACAGATGGCATAAATACTTTCCGGCAGTCTGCTCAGTGGGGCTGTGCTGACTTGGGAGGTTAGAAACAAACTGAGCCCGTGACTGCCAGGTACCACTCGTGTCTCCATATTTCCCATGCAGCAATAGCTCCTGCTGTAGTCACAGTGACTTTGCAAGCCTACCCAAGGGGAATGTAGACAATTTAGTAGGAAAATAATATTTCTTACCAAAATGTCTTGGCCAAGCACAGTGGCTTACGCCTGTAATCCTAATACTTTAGGAGGCTGAGGTGGGGAAATCACATGAGCCCAGGAATTTGAGACCAGCCTGTGCAGCATGGCCAAACCCCCTCTCTACAAAAAATGAGCCAGGGATGGTGGCACATGCCTGTAGTCGTAGTTACTCAAGAGGCTGAACTGGAAGAATCACTTGAGCCCAGGAGGTCAAGGCTGCAGTGAGCTGTGGTTGTGCCACTGCACTCCAGCCTGGGTGATAGAGCAAGACCCTGTCTCAAAAAAAAAAAAAAAAAAAGGCATAATTATTACCCTGATAGGTTTCCTTTTTCTGCCTTTCTGTACCTGTTACCTGGGTGAGCACTTAATGGCCCAAAAGTGTATTAACATGCTTTCTGATTCTAGGTCTCTCATTCCTTGTATTTGTGAATTTCAAACTGTAACTGGAAGATTCCCTGTATCAGAATTACGTAGAGCACTTGTTCAAAATGAACTCCTAGGTTCAATAGACCTATTGTCCCAGTCTCTGAGCTAGAAATCCCAGGTGATTCTTATGCATACACAATTTGAGAACTTCTTTAACTCCTCATCAGACAGGTTCAATCAGAGAAGCCCTAGGAGACATAAAAAGATTTATTACAGAGTTCGGCCTCACATAAGAAGAGCTGATTAGATGATCTATATAAGCCTGTTTCTGTTTGGTGCTAGGAGCCTAAAACCCATAGCACAGGCTGTCAAAGGGGCGATGGTGCAAAAGGAGGAGGGTCAACAGACTGGATTGTGACCTGGGACCATGGGGGACACCTGTGGCAGTCCCACTACCTTAGAACTTTCACTTAGTGATCAGGTACTGGCCTCCTTTTTCATGGCTAGACATGCACCTGGCCCAAGAGCTTGGGAGAAGTTGCAGAAGGGCCTGACAGGAGCTTAAGGAGCTGGGACCCCATATGCAGCCCATGCCGCCAGGTGAGTCAGCAGGTAAAGAACACGCGTGAGCGGTGACAGCCCATCATGCTCTGCTCAGCAGCACAAGAGCAGATGGCTGCTGCCTCACTGCACCTTCTGCATCTTAGGCTCCTTTCTCTGAGTGCAAACCCACCAGAGCTGTTCAGTACCCATCGGTGGTCTTCATTACTGCACGAAGTCCAAGTCTTTCTCCGCTTTGTGAAATTAATTCAAACTTAAAGCTGTTGGAACTTCAAATTATTCTGAGCCTTGAAAGACATGTGGCTATGCAGAGCCTGAGTTATGCGGCATGCAGGCGCAACTTCTGCCTTTTCCCCTGTAAACAAGACAAAAAGGCACCAGACATAAGACCCCTCAAATCACTACTCCTCCGCACAGAGTAATAAAGTAATCTTGGAATGAGCAGCAATCTATAACCAATCAAATTGCTGTGGCGAATGCACTGGTCTTGTATGGAAAATGTGATCCTGCTAAAATTTCTAAGTGAAACCTTAACTTCTCCACTTTGAAACATTAACCTTACTGGTTTAGAGTCAGTGTTTCCAGGTGGCCATTCTCAAGCTCTGCACTCGAATTAACCCTCTACTTAATCATATTTTCTAAATCTCATTATTTAAGGTTGATAGTTTTCAGATCCCTCCACGCCATCCTCGCCTCCCCCACCCAACTCCCTACCTCTTCAACATACTTCTTTAACTAGCTGGGCTGCTTTGTTAAGTGGGTGTGATATTCTCATTCTTCAGTGATTCAGCTAACATTGTCTGACTTTGTGTACTGTCCCCTTGAACTTTATAAATCATACTCTTAAAGTCCAGATCAAGTTTTATTTTCTCTATTGAGATTTTCCCAACTTTTCTAGATTTTATGAATTTCTTCTGAGCGTCTATTAACTTGATACTTGTAGTTTATATTAAATATGAATGCAATTGTTTGCTGTTATTTCTTAAATATTGCCCCTCCCATTTACTTTTCTTATATATCCATTATACGAAGTCTGAACACATAGGAGGCACCTAAAACCTATAAAGAGACATGGAACTTGTTTAAAGGACCCAGGAGTGATCCGTTTGTTAGTGTTGATTGAAAATCCATCCTGCTGCCTACTTCTGGTTGTGAGAGAAACATTAAATCTGTGAGCAGTGCAAACTTCTTTCCATCCCTCCTCTGGAGTTCCTAGCAGCAGGCCTGGGTCTAAACGTGGGAAGGAGCTTCAAATCTTTTATTTCAAGTTGTCACTTCTATGGAGGGGTAGTAGCTCTGTCCATGGGCAATTTGGAATGTTGGAGGAGCCTGAAGGCAAGTGGAGTTAGGAATACAAGTGTCTCACCCTTGAGTTCCGCTCAGCAGAATGAAGAGTATGGGTGCACTGCTTCACCCACAGGATTGCGCTGATTTATCTGTTGACATACTGTGCTAGTTTTCTCCCTAGACCGGGAGGACCGATAGTGTATGTGGGTGCATTTCAAGGCAGCCACTTTGTATGGCCACTATGTCCAATGAAAGGAGAGGCCTGTGGCCCCACTCTTGTCATGAGCACCCTCCCAGCCAGGCTCGGTGTCTTGTGCCTCCTCCGCCAGACAGAGCTTCATGTGCATCTGCTCCACTCTTGAATGAGTTTAGCTGCCAATTTGCTCTCCCTTGTCTGAATGGCTCCTGGAGCTTGTGAATCATCTTTGAAAAATATTTCTATAATGGGAAAATATTTTAAAAACAGCATGGGGCGTGAGCAGATGTCCACAGGGCTGATTGTTAGAAAGTATAGGTGATCGAAAGTGTGATCCTCCCACTTTGTCCTCAAGCTGACCAATGGCCTGACCTCTTCTGCAGTGAGAAGCTGCTGGAGAGTTGGCTGAGGGTCAGGAAATCAAGGGACCTTCATTCTTCAATGAAAGCCAGGCTCCACATCACCCTCCAAGAGGCCGCCAGATGGCAGTGTTGACTCATCCAGCCTCTGTGAGAACCACAGTTTTCTAATGCTCAGAAAACTGCTACCACAGTTTTCCAGTGCACAGACTTTACTGAGTGACTAGGAAGGGGCCTTGAGCCTAATCATTAATCCTGTTTTATAACCTGGAAGGAGGTACACCTTGTTGCTGTCCTAAATCTCAGCTATTCCTCAGATCAAAGCGGAAAGGACAGAAGGAGATAAACCCAGCAAAATTGGTAGTAACCTATGCTGGAGGTGTGCAAAATTGGTAGTAACCTATGCTGGAGGTGTCCTAGGTGTATGCAGGGGTTGGGAGGTGGGTGGGTGGGGGAGAGGGAAAGGGGGAGAGAGAGAGAGAGAGAGAGAGACAGGGAGAGAGAGAGAAAGAAGAAGAAGGAGGAGGAGGAGGAGAGAAGGGAGCAGGGGACTGGTTGTGGTTTGGAGAGACAAAAATCAGAACACAGAATTTTTTTGGAGCTATATACTTTCATAAACAAGGAAACTAATGGACAGAGAATACATTAAAGTGCTCTGTGCAGGCTGCTGACTAGTGGCAGAACAGATTAAGACTCAGTGTTTAGTTTTTCTACTTCTCTCTCTCTCTCTGGGTTTCAGTGTTTAGTTTTTCTGCTTCTCTCTCTCTCTCTCTTTCTGGGTTTTCTTTGTTTTGTGCTATCAAGTTCTTCTTATTTCTTTTACTTCAATAAATTTCTTTCAAATGAATCTAAATGTTATGATCTAAGGACACAAGTTGATAAATGCAATTAAGATTCTTGGTTGAAGATTTTGTGTAGGTGGTATTAGTAGAAAGTATCCACAAAGTCATGGAGCAAAATCTCAGATTTACAAAGTTCTAGGTCTGCCTTGGCCTTCCAAAGTGTTGGAATTACAGGCATGAGCCCCTGTGTCTAGCCTTATATTGACATTTTTCACTTGCATTTTAGAATTGATTGTTGAGAACCCCTTGAGTGACCTAGGTCAAGAGACTGCTGATCTGTCTGTGATGGGTTTGATATTTTTTTCTCCTCACCAAAAATGCTAAGAACATTCATTTACAAAACTGGAGACATTGGTAAGCTCTTACCTTTCTCATCCTGTGGGACTGCACCAGCCTGTCTTACTGCTTCCTGGGAGGTTCTATGCACAAATTCTCTGGGACCTTCTCAGGTTAGGCAAGACCTCCAGAAGACCTACCAGCTATCTTGCTCCTGAAGTTCAAGGCTCTGAAAGCCTTAAATGTCATGAAGCATGAAGCATTTCCAGGAAATTTGTGGTTTTCTCTTGAAACTTCCCAAAGAGAACTTTTTCTGAAAACTGTTTACAGCAATTTGATGGAGACCAGCATTTCCGAGGGCCCAGAGGAAGGATCAGAGAACAAGGACAGTGACAGGGGGATTTGGTCATGAGAGTCAGAGGCCCGTGTGATTTGCAATACTCCTTTCTGGAAGCTCTAACGAATATGAATAATCAAAGATGCCATTACTGCATAACAAGAGCATTGGACACTAAAATATAACTTTTCCGAGAAATTGAAATTTGCTTATTTATGTTGTTTATTTAGGGGTATGGTCAGGGTATTTTATTCAGACACTTAGTGTGCTCAATTTATTCATTTTTTCAACAGTATTTCTGGAGCTCCTATTATGTTCTAGGCACTATAAAGACACATGCACACGTATGTTTATTGCGGTACTATTCACAATAGCAAAGACTTGGAACCAACCCAAATGTCCATCAGTGATAGACTGGATTAAGAAAATGTGGCACATATACACCATGGAATACTATGCAGCCATAAAAAATGATGAGTTCATGTCCTTCGTAGGGACATGGATGAAGCTGGAAACCATCATTCTCAGTAAACTATCGCAAGGACAGGAAACCAAACAATGCATGTTCTCACTCATAGGTGGGAATTGAACAATGAGAATTGTTCAATTGTTCAATTGGCAATGCAGGGCCTGGGAAGGAGCTTCCTGCAGGCCGAACAGAAACAAAATGACACTTCCCTCCATTCTAAGCCAAATAACCTAGTGGTTCCTGTATGTGCCTCAGAGTGAAATTGAAATCCTAACCCTGAAGTCATTTTGTAGAGGCCTTAAGCTTCTTGTTGTGAGATGTTTCCTGGTTCCCTTCAGAAAAGGGCTCTGACAGGGTTTAGCAGAACTATTGATGGACGACTTGGCATGAGTACATCTGGATACATCAGAACTTTGTCACAAGAGTGGTGTTTTAGTTTTAAATTCCTTAAATAACCAATAATTGGGACATGGTTAAGTAATTTATGAAATGTTCACTACATGAAATATTTTCTGGCCATTAAAAGTGGTGGCCATGAAGACCTGGCAGCAACATGTCAGAATATTAACGCAGAATGCTAAATGAAAATCAAGAGTCCAGAATTGTACACAATGACTGCAGGTGTGTGAAAACATGAAAATGCAGACGAAGAACATCCAAATTAATGTAGTGGACTGGCCCCCTATAAATGAACCAGTGGACTGGTTCATTTTATTGACCATTTTAGGACAAGACTTTATACATTTGGAATTCTATATTTAATAGCACCCCTTGAATTTTTGCATGATTTTAAAAGACCAACCAAACTTCTTATAATACTTAAGTTTGATTGTGGCTGCAATCTAGCAATCAATTTAATGAAAAATATCTAACTGGAAACTTTGAGTTGATAAAAAATCTGTTTGATAGATTATTTCACTTTTAAATAGCCTGTTGCTATCAATAGATACATCTGATCATCTCCTAATTAGTAAATAATGAAGACTGTTGTTTTCATAAGTATTAATAAGCCACAGATATTCTGGGATGGGTTGCTGGCAGGAGGAAGATGTTGACTTGCTAACTGAGGAGTATGAACCCGGTCAGTGCTGCTTCTGTACATAAAGACTGTTAGTTTAGATGATGGCCTCACCAAAATAATATTCTGATTTGTCTGCTTGATTATGAAGGTGCACAATTAGCAAGAAAAATCTGAGACTTTTTAGACAGACGTATACAAAACCTCTGGGTTGTCTTGAGAAAACCCAGAAAACCGACTTCTCTCAGGCTTCATGAAGGGGAAAAGGTGTTTTAACCTTTAGCACATGTTACAAAAATCTAATACGGCAAAAGATATTGAGAAGTGGAGAGTTTCACTAAAAATTATTGGGCTAATAAATGCTTAGAGCCAATATGTACACACAACACACACACACACACACACACACACACACACACACAAAGGAAAAAGCTAATGGAAAACAACTAAGCCCTATTTTATTCCGTTGGAAGCCGTGAGCAATGCCAAGTGTCCACACTTAAAAATGAGATACAAACACGTTTTCTCTCATGTTTTTCACAAATTTGAAGGAAACAATTATCAGTCAAGACTTGTCAGAAGATTTGGTATAAATTTAAGGGCATATTTACTTTCTCTTGTCACTTTAACAAGTTTATGTTGTCCCGTGTCCCTTATAAATCTGCTAGAAAAATAAGTTTGGAATTTCAAAGTAGAAAAACCTTGGAAATAAGATCTTCAGTGGCTTGAAGTTTACACCCAGTCTGGAGCTAGGGCCTCCACATGCATCAGCACATCTCATTCTTGTGTGAAAATTTTTAAATTGATATGTAGTATTTGTACATATTTACAGGGTACATGTGATATTTTGTTATTGCATAATGATCAAGTCAGGGTATTTGGGGTGTTCAGCACCTTGAGTTCATCACCTTTCTATGTGTTGGGAACATTCCAAGTCCTGTCTTCTAGCTATTTTGAAATATGCAAATATTGTTGTTAACTGTAGTCACCCTACTCTACTGTCGAACAACAGATCTCACTCCTTCCATCTAACTGTCTGTTTGTACCCATTAATCAACCTCTCTTTCTCCTCTCCCCCACACATACCACCTTCCCACCCTCTGCTAGCGACCGTTCTACCTTCTACTCAGCACATCTCATTCTGACTCTTCCATCTGATGTGAGCAAGTCTGTCCTGAATTAGAGCTGTTTTCTAGAGGGCAAGATCTTATCTTTGTTTATTATTTAAAGTGTCCAGCACGCTTTGATTTATTACTAAGCACGAGCTATTTTTTACTTGAATTTCTATAATGCTTTGTTATTCATTCGTGTTTTTTATTATGGAAATGTCAAATAAGCCCCTTGTATATTTCACCCACCACTATTCATGGTAATCTTATTATCGTTGTTTATTTTGAAGTAAATCCTATAATTTTATTAGTAAATATTTTAGTGCTCCTAAAAGATAATGATCGCATTTAAAAATATAATCACAGTATCACAATTGTACCTTTAAAAATTAACTATAATCCCTCAACATTCAATATGCAGTCCATGTTCAAATTTCCTTGATTGTCTCATAAATGTCTATTAACATGTCATTCAAATCTGGAAACAAGCCTTTTTATCTCTCTCTCTCTCTCTTTCCTTGAAATTTACATGTTGAAGAATCCAAGTCGTTTGTCATGCAGAATCTTCCACATTCTAGATATAAATGATTGCATTCCTGTAGGTTCTGTCCTGTCTTTTCCTATAAATTGGCAGTTAAATTTAGAGGCTTGATTAGATTATGTTCAATTTTTCATCAATAAAGCAACTTATGTTCATATAAATCTTATCATTGCTTAGATGAACAAATTAGACCTGTTTCTTTTTCTTTTCTTTTCTTTTTGAGAGAAGGTCTCCCTCTGTTGCCCAGGCTGGAGTGCAGTGGTATAATCATGTCTCACCGTAGTCTCTACGTCCCTGGGCTCAGTGGTCCTCTCACCTTAGCCTCCTTAGTAGCTGGAACTACAGGTGTGTGCCACTATACCTGGCTAATTTTTGTACTTTTGGTAGAGACAGAGTTTCACCATGTTGCCCAGGCTGGCCTGAAACTCCTGGGCTCTAGGGATCCACCCCCCTCAGCCTCTCAAAGTGCTGGGTTTATAGGCATGAACCACAGCACCTGGCCCAGACCTGTTTGTATTGGTTAAATGATAATGTACTAGAGGAGAAATCTTTTTTGTGATATGACATATCTCAAAGTATCATTGATTTTTGAGTTTGTGTCAATATGAGATAAACTTTAGTTTCTAAAAATAGCCACAAACTTTCTTTAGATCACAGAATCACAGATTCCACTTGGGCAGGACTTGAGCCTCTCACTCATGTAGGGCCCCTTTCCACCTTCCTGGAGGTATGGTCACCTGTCCTTTGCGTGACCAAGTCGGGATGAGGAGTTAGTTACACGCAGACAGGCCACTGGTAAGTCTCTCACAGTATTCCAGCTTTTCCTTCAAGGCATTTTTCTTCTAGGGTTGTTGTCTATTTTGTTGTTGTTGTTGCCTGTTTGTAACAGGTTTCTATTCTATCGTGTTACCCTGCTCTGTGTTAATAATATAAATACCTAACAAATTTTCTAGACTATCTAGCCCTTTAACTGAGGGTTTTTTTTTCTTTTTCTTCTGATTCTTTTTACAGCTAAGCCCCTATACTTAACACTCTCTTTTCTCTGCTCCTGATGGTTAACACCTTGATTTACATACTTTATTCAAGGGATAATAGTAATACTGTATTGCTATTAGTCTCAGTCACCTCTGTGTCATCTTTCCTACTGCTGTGTTGAGACTATTTTGGGGAGTGTGCCTCAGCGACAGCTGTGAGCCACATTTAACCCACCAGCTGAAGTCTTGCAAAGTGCCCTTCATGTTCCCGCGTGTACAGATGGCTCTGCCTGATACTAATGGCAGCAGCAGGGTAAATGTGACTGAGGCGTCTTCTGGGGAGGCTCAGGTGGTCCAGGTTCCCTTTTAGAAACTTCAGAGTCAAGCTATTCGTAGTGGTGACTCTTGTACGCTCCAGCTGCCTGGCCTGTTCCCTACCCATGGGGGCTCAGATCCCTGATGGCCTTAAAAGGAGAGGGCTTGAGAAAAATGCCACCCTGAGTCAGGGTGTGGGCTGCACAGGCCAGCAGCTTGTCTCTGAGAGTGATGCCAAGGGAGTGGTTTGCAGGAGAGAGAGAGGGTTCTCCAAGATATCAGCCTCAAAATAGCCTGGCCATCCTGAACTTCCCTTAATAGCCTGCCACAGATCAATCACCCACAATCTAGGGAAAGCCTTTGTAAGCCTATTTGGACATTATGCTTGTGCTGCCTTGAAGAGCAATTGAATTCCACCTATTATTCTGAGGCATAAGATATTTTTCCGTCCTATTTTCCTAAAACTAAAGCTATCTCTAAGTTTTGAGAGTATCCTCTTGCCTCTGTGGCCTGGGAATGGTGGAATGTGATGAGAGTGACAGGGTGGCAGCTGCACCCAGGATGCTGACTCGGTGTCACTGTCGGCTTCAGTTGATGTGGCCACCACACGTTAACCACGTGACATCAGTTTCTGGGCAGAAGTTAAGTGTCTTGCCTTCTGCAGTAGATTTTATCTCTAAGAATTGTCCAGAAAAGGAAAAGCCTGTTTATCTCAATTTCCTCTGTGATTATATTCCAAAATAAGCTTCCATAGGAAAAACATTCTATGCAAGTGTGGCAGATGGCCTGGGCTAGGCCACAGCGATTCTCCCTTCCTTTAGAGAAGTACAGCCGTGTCAAGTGTGTGTCCCCGAGGATTGCATTAAGGAAGACTTTAAGAAGAGTTATAGATTGGAAGGGAATTTATGTGATTTTTCCCTCCAGAATGCATCTGAGCAGGGCTCACTCAGCAGGTGGATGACTTGGGGCCTCAGAGAAACCCTGGGTTTTCCAAGGAGCCCTGAATGTTTATAAGACATCAGGTTAGAACAGGAGTCCAGGGGCGATATGTTAGAAAACCTAACAAGAACTGGACATTTACAAGAAGTCAGGTGTAAGGACTGAGGAGACGTGGTTTCTTTACTTTTGCAGAACAGCTGTGCAGCCAGTCCCTGGGATGGGCTCCTGTCCGGGGCTGCGCACTCACAGGCTGCCAGAGTGAGCAATGGAAAGGCAGGTTAGGCTTCTCCCCATGCTACTCAGGCCGCTGTGCTCCACCACAGCCTACGGGAGGCAGCCAAGCTCCTCTGCTACGTGTACTGTCAGAGGCTGGTCACCTCCCCTCACTTTTAAGGGTCTCTGACCCTCACTTTTCTGGCAACAGCAAGTTGCTTATCGTTGCCCAAAGATACTGAAGTGGTTGTAGGCTCTGGAATCCAAAAGACAGAGAATCAGGCCTACCCCATCTCTTCCTGTCTGTGTGGCCTCAGGCAGTTAGTGGAAGTCCGTAGGCCTTGCTCCCTCACTTATGAAATGTGGATGATAGTACCTTCCTCATAGGCACCCAGTGAAGAGTACATGAGATAATGTTTGTAAAGCTCTTGTTCCAGTGCCTAACACAGTACGTCCTCAGTGAATCACAGTTATTCCTGTTATGCCTTACAGGCTATTTTCCCAGCGGGGACCCACAACCCCTCCATGCACCCCTAGCTCCCATATGCCTGGAAACTCACATTCATCTTTCAAACGTGAGTCAAGTTTTGACTCAAGTGTGCCTCTCTGTGAAGCTGCCTCTGATCCCGTCCCCCGCCTTCTTTTTCTCTGTCCATTTCCATTTCTTATGACTGCATAGTATTCCATAGTGTATATGTACCACATTTTCTTTATCTAATCCACTGTTGATAGGCACCTAGGTTGATTCCATGTCTTTGCTATTGTCAGTAGTGCTGTGATGAATGTGTGTGTGCATGTCTTTTTTTCTTTTTGAGACAGAGTTTCGCTCTTGTTGCCCAGGCTGGAGTGCAATGATGTGCAAACTCTGCCTCCTGGGTTCAAGCAATTCTTCTGCCTCAGCCTCCTGAGTAGCTGGGATTACAAGCATGCGCTACCACACCTGGCTAATTTTGTATTTTTAGTAGAGACAAGGTTTCTCCATGTTGGTCAGGCTGGTCTCAAACTCCCAACCTCAGGTCATCCTCCAACTTCGGCCTCCCAACGTGCTGGGATTACAGGCGTGGGCCACTGTGCCCAGTGCATGTGTCTTTTTGGTAGAATGAATTGTTTTCATTTGGATATATACCCAGTAGTGGGATTGCTGGGCCAAATTGTAGTGCTGTTTTAACTTTTTCAAGAACTCTTCAAACTGCTTTCTATAGTGGCTGAACTAATTAACCTTCCCACCAACAGTGTATAATTATTCCTTTTTCTCCACAGCATCACAGCATCTGTTGTTTTTTGACTGTTTAGTAATAGCCATTTTGACTGGTGTGAGATGGTATCTCATTGTGGTTTTGATTTGCATTTCTCTGATGATTAGTGATATGGAGCATTTTTTTGCGTTTGTTGGCTGCATGTCTGTCTTCTTTTGAGGAGCGTCTTTTCATGTCTTTTGCCCATTTTTTAATGGGGTTGTTTTTTGCTTGTTCATTTGTTTAAGTTCCTTGTAGGTTCTGGATATTAGACCTTTGTCAGATGTGTGTTTTTTGAATATTTTCTCCCATTCCGTAGGTTGTCTGTTTACTCTGTTGATAGTTTCTTTTGCTGTGCAGAAGCCCTTTAATTATGTCCCACTTGTCAATTTTTGTTTTTGTTGAAATTGCTTTTGAGGACTGAATTACAAGTTCTTTCCTAAGGCTAATGTCTAGAATGGTTTTTCCTAGGTTTTCTTCTAGGATTCTTAACAGTTTGAGGTCTTACATTTAAATCTTTAATCCACATGAACTAATTTTTGTATACGGTGAAAGGTAGGAATCCAGTTTCATTCTTCTGTGTATGACTAGACAGCGAACCCAGCACCATTTATTGTTTAGAGAGCCCTTTCCCCATTGCTTATTTTTGTTGACTTTGTTGAAGATCAGATGGCTGTAGGTGTGTGGCTTTATTTCTGGGTTCTGTATTCTGTTCCATTAGTCTATGTGTCTGTTTTTGTACCAGTGCCAAGTTATTTTGGCTACTGTAGTATTATAGTATAGTTTGAAGTCGGATAATGTGATGCCTCTGGCTGTGTTCTTCTTGCTTAATATTGCTTTGGCTATTTGGATTTTTTTTTGTTCCATATGAATCTTACAGTAGTTTTTTCTAGTTATTTGAAAAATGACATTGGTAGTTTGATAGGAATAGCATTGAATCTGTAGATTACTTTGGGCAGTATGGCCAGATTAATGATACTGATTCTTCCAGTCCATGGGTAGGGAATGTTTTTCCATTTGTTTGTATCATCTATGATTCCTTTCAGCAGTGTTTTGTAGTTCTTCTTGTAGAGATCTTTCACCTCCTAGTTAGATGTATTCCTAGGTATTTTATTTTCTTTGTGGCTGTTGTAAATGAGATCATGTTCTTGATTTGGTTCTCAGCTTGAATGTTATTGGTGTATAAAAATGCTACTGATTTTTATACATTGACTTTGTATTCTACAACCTTACTGAAATTGTTTATCAATTCTAGGAGCCTTTTGGTGGAGTATTTAGGGTTTTCTAGGTATAGAAACATATCATCTGCTAAGAGAGATAATTTGACTTCTTTTTTTCCTATTTGTATGTCTTTTATTTTTTTCTCTTGCCTGACAGCTTTGGCTACCACTTCCAGTACTATGCTGAATAGGAGTGGTGAGAGTGAGCATCCTTATCTTGTTCCAGTTCTCAAGGGGAATGGTTCTAGTTTTTTGGCTATTCAGTGTGTTGTTAGCTGTGGGTTTATCATAGACAGCTCTTGTTATTTTGAAGGGTGTTCCTTTGATACCTAGTTTCTTGCGGGTTTTTATCATGAAGGGATGTTGGATTTTATTGAAAGCTTTTTCTGTGTCTGTGGAGATGATCATATGGTTTTTGTTTCTAATTCTGTTTATGTGGTGAATCAGATTTATTGATTTGTGTGTGTTGAACCAATCTTGCCTCCCAGGAATAAAGCCTAATTAATCATGATGAGTTAACTTTTCGATGTGCTGTTGGATTCAGTTTGCTAGTATTTTGTTGAGAATTTTTGCACGTATGTTCATCGGGGATATTGGCCTGCAGTTTTATTTTTTTTGTTGTTGATGTGTCTTTATTAGGTTTTGGTATCAGAGTGATACTAACTTTGTAGAATGAGTTAGGGAGAAGTCCCTCCTCCTAGATTTTTGGGAACACTTTCAGTAGAATTGGTACTAGCTCTCCTTTGCACATCTGGTAGAATTCAGCTGTGAATCCATCTGGTCTGGGGCTTTTTTGTTTGATAGGTTTTAAAATTATGGATTCAATTTTGGAACTTAATATTGGTCTGTTCAGGGTTTCAATTTCTCCCTGATTCGATCTTAAGAGATTTTGTGTTTCCAGGAATTTATCTATTTTTTTTTCTAGATTTTCTAGCTTGTGTGCATAGAGGTATTCATAATAGTCTCTGAGGATCTTTTGTATTTCTGTGGGATTGGTTGTGTAACGTCACCTTTGTCATTTCTGATTGTGCCTATTTGGATCTTCTCTCCTTTTTTCTTTGTTAACCTAGCTAGTGGTCTATCAGTCTTGTTTATCCTTTCAAACAACAAACTTTTGGTTTAGTTGACTCTTTGTATGGATATTTCGGTCTCAATTTCATCCTGTTCTTCTCTGATTCTAGTTATTTCTTTTCTTCTTCTAGCATTGGGGTTAGTTTGTTCTTGTTTTTATAGTTCCTCTAGGTGTCATGTTAAATTGTTAATTTGAGATCTTTCTAACTTTTTGAGGTAGACGTTTAGCACTGCAAATATTCGTCTTAACACTGCTTTTGCTACATCCCAGAGATTTTAGTATGTTGTGTCTCTGCTTTTATTTATTTCAAAGACTTTTCTGGTGTTTGCCTTAATTTCATTGTTTACCCAAGAGTCATTCAGGATAGAGTTGTTTGATTTCTATGCAATTGTGTGGCTTTGAGAGGTCTTCTTAGTATTGACTTCTATTTTTATTCTACTGTGGTCTGTGTGTATGGTTGGTATAATTTTGATTTTTTTGAATTTATTGAGACTTGCTTTATGGCCAAGAATATAGTTGATCTTGCAGTATGTTTGGTGTGCAAGATGAAAAGAATGTATATTGTGGGTTGATAGGTGTATTCTGTAGATGTCTATTAGGTCCAATTGGTCAGGTGTTGTATTTAAGTCCAGAATTTCTTGGTTAGTTTTCTGCCTCTATGATCTGTCTAATGCTGATAGTGGGGTGTTGAAGTCCCCCACTATTATTGTGTGGCTGTCTAGAAGTACTTGTTTTATGAATCCTGTTGAATTGAACTCTTTATCATTATGTAATGGCCCTTCTTTGTTCTTTTTTACTGTTTGGCTTAAGGTCTACTTTATCTGATATAAGAATAGTGATCCCTAATCTTTTTTGTTTTCCATTTGCATGGTAGGTTTTTCTCTAACCCTGTACTTTGATCCTATGGGTGTTGTTACATGTGAGATGGGTCTCTTGAAGATAGCAGATAGATGGGTCTTGTTTTTTAATCCAACTTTCCACTCTGTGTCTTTTGAGTGGGTGTTTAGACCATTTACATTCAACACGAATATTAATATATGAGGTTTTAATCATGTTGTGAAGTTCTTAGCTGGTTGCTTTGTAGTTTCTATTGTGTGGGTGCTCTGTAGGATCTGTAGGCTGTGTACTTCAGTGTGCTTTTGTGGTAGCCAGTATCATTCTATTGCTTCCATGTTTAGACCTCCTTTAAGGATCTCTTGTAAGTCTGGTTTAGCGGTAATGAATTCTCTTAGCACTTGCTGGTTGGGAAAATATTTTATTTCTTTTAGCTGAGTTTGGTGGGATATGAAATTCTTGGTTGGACTTTCTTTTCTTTAAGAATCCTGAAAATAGGCCCCCAATCTCTCCTGGCTTGTGAGGTTTCTGCCGAAAAGTCCACTGTTAGCTTGATAGTGTTCCCATTGTATGTGATTTGACTTTTTTCTGTAGCTATCTTTAAGATTTTTTCTTTAGAGTTGACCTTGGACAGTCTCATGACTCTCTATGCCTTGGTGATATTTGTTTTGTATAGTCTCTCACAGGTGTTCTCTGGATTTCTTGTATCTGCATGTCTACTTCTCCAGCAAGAATACGGAAATTTTCTTGAATGATTCCCTCAAATATGTTTTCCAGATTATTTACTTTTTATCCTCTCTCAGGAATGCCAATAGTTTATAAGTTTGGTCTATTTGCATAATCTCTTAGTTCTTGAAGATGTTGTTCATCTTTAAAAATTCTCTTTTCTTTATTTTCGTATGACTGGGTTAGTTCAAAAGACTGGTCTTCAAGCTCTGCAATTCTTTCTTCTGCTTGGTCCAGTCTATTGATAAAACTTTCAATTGTATTTTTAAAATTTCTTAAGTGAGTTTTCAATTCCAGAAGGTCTAATTGATTTCCCCCTTTGGAAGATGTTTGTCTCTTTCTTCATTTCGTGGATTGCTTTGAAAGTTTCTTTGTGTTGATTTTCAACCTTGTCTTAGATTTCATTCAGCTTCCTTGCAATCCATGCTTTGAATTCTTTATGTGTCATTTTTGAGTTTCCATTTTGGTTATAGATCATTGCTGGAAAGCTAGTTCAATTCTTTGGTGGAATCACTATATTCAAATTTTTCATGGTGTCATAATTCTTGTGCTGGTTCCTTCTCATCTGGAGATGTTGACACTTCTAATTTTTGTGAATATTTTCATCCAGGATTCTTATCTTTTTCTTTCTTTTACTATAGTAGTATTATTAGTTTTCTTTCCTTTTCCCTTTACCCCCTCCCTAGGGGTGCAACTGTAGAGAATGCTGGGTAGGGTCTTTTGGCTTTATTTCTATAGCCCTGTGCACTTCTTTCAGCTTTTATATTGGGCTGTGCAGTTCGACCTACAATCCAGTAGATGGCACTTATAGGTAAGAGCCAGCAGCAGCCAACGTGGCTGGGTCTATACTTGATCCTTCTTTAGTGGCCGAAGCTTACCGTTGCCTCAGGCAATGGGGTGATTCTGGATTGCACAGTGGTCTGAGCTCCCTGCTCAGCCCTAGGGGGTGGAATGGGGGCCACAGTGGGCAGGCCTGGACTGGGCAGGTCTGCCTACAGGTCCACCAATGGCAAGCACAAGCATCCTTTTACTTTCAATCTCCCTGTATCATTGTATTTGAAGTGAGTTTCTTATAAACAGTGTATATTTGGGTCATGCTTTAATTCACTCTGCCAATCTCTTCCTTTTAACTGGTTTATTTAGAGCACTTACATTTAATGAAATTGTTGATACATTAGGTCTGAAGTTGCCATCTTTTTTTAAATTTTCTGCTATTTCCCTCTGTTTTGTTTTTCTGTTATCCCTACCTTCCTATATATTTCTTGAATATTTTTGTTTTACAATTCCACTTTGATTTATGTATTGCACTGTTTAGTTTATCTCTTGGTATCGCTTTTCTACTTATTACACAAAACACGGTCTATCTGTGTTAGCATTTTACCAGCTCCCGTGAAAAGTAGGAAAAAAGGTGACCTCCTTTATGTCACCTCACCCTCCTCATTTATAATTTAATAATCATAAATATTTGATATTAATAATATGTTTAATGTAATTGTCTGAAATATTTCCTCCATGTGTATTTACAACCACATCAGTTAGGGTTATAATTTTTGCTTCAACTATCAAACATAATTTAGAATATTCAAGAGGAGAAGGAAAATGTATTTTTTAATCTATATTTTTACTATTTTCCTTGTTCTTTCTTTTTTCCTAATGATTGAGAACATGTCTCAGAGCGTCTGAGGAATGTGAGATATGAATTTTTTTTTTGAGAGAGACAGGGCCTTACTCTGTCACCCACACTGTAGTGGAGTACAGTGGCATGATCATAACTTATTACAGCCTTGAACTCATGGGCTCAAGTGGTCCTCCTGCCCCAGCCTCCTGCGTAACCAGGACTACAGACATGCACCGTCATGTCAAGTAATTTTTAAATCAATCTTTCCTTCTTTTCTTTTTTTCTTTCTTTCGTGGAGACAGGATCTTGATCTTACTGTGTTGCCCAGGGCGGTCTTGAACTCCCATTCTCAAGTGACCCTCTCACCTCAGCCTCCGAAAGTGCTAGGATTATAGGCATGAAACACCATGCCTGGCCTGATATGGAAAATGTATCAGACGCAGAGAGACATAAACATGAGACTCTAATCATGTCCTCTGCAGCCATACCTGGGGGCAAGTTTTTAAAGGCATTTTGATTTTTTTTCCCTTTCTTCTAGTTTCCAGGCTAGCTGATAAATTACCTAAAATGTTACCACAAGTTGCACAATGTAACTCTCATCCATAATCTTCATGTTCATGGAATTTGTGATACAAAGAAAAATGTATAGCCAACCAATCACTTTTGTTATTTTAATAAAGCAAAGTAAATTATTGGTAAACAACTTAAGGACTGCACTTCTTTTTTGCTTTTACAAACCACTTGTAGTTACTGTTAATTGGAGCATGGATCAAGGCAACTTGCATGAGTCTCCTGGGCTTCAGTCCTCAGCTTCAGCCCAGATAAACTCTCTACTTATATTAATTTTGCCTCAGTTTTTTTCCTTTAGGTTAACATGATCCAAGATTCTTTCTTTTATTAGTTCTTATCTGTTTAGAAAACTTCCCTTAGCCATTATTTTAGAGGAGGTCGGCTGGCAACAAATTCTCTTACACTGTTCTTTCATCTGAAAATATCTTCAAGTCCCCTTCATTCACCTTTATATTTTCTCTGAATAAATAATCCTGGGTTGACAATTCTTTTGTTTGAGCACTTGAAAAATGTTGTTACTTCCTTCTGGCTCCCTGGTTTCTGATGAGAAATTCCGTATCATTCAAATTGTTTTCCCTTATAGGTAGATGTTATTTCTCTCATTGCTTTCAATATTTTTTCTTTGTCTTTAGTTTTCAAAAGTTTAGTTATAGCATGCTTTGGCATGGATTTCTTTGGGTTTATCCTATTTGGAGTTCACTCAACATTTTGAATCTGTAGATTTATGTCTTTTGCCAGATTTAGAAAATATTCATCCACTATTTGTTTGACTACTTTTTAAGTCATGCCCTCTTTCTCCTCTCTCTGGGACTCCAATAACATAAATGTTAGACCTTTGATTGTGATCCTGTAGGTCTCCAAGGCTCTGTTTATTTCTTTCTGCAGTTCAGATTAGGTAATTTCTTTTTTTATTTTATTTTATTTCCCTGTTTTAATTCCCTGTTCACCAATTCTTTCCTCTGTCCCCTCCATTCTGCTGTTGAGTCCATCTACTGAGTTTTAAAAACCTTTGTTGTTATTGCATGTCTCAGTTCTAAAATTTCCATTCAGTTATTCTTAATATCCTCTAATTATTTGCTGGAACTTTCTATTTTTCTAATATATTTCAAGTGTTTTTGTATTGCTTGTTGAAGTTTTTTTATTTATTTTTATTTTATTTTATGTATTTATTTTTTTGAGACAGAGTCTTGCCCAGTCACCCAGGCTGGAGTGCAGTGTCGTGATCTCGGCTCACTGCAATCTCCACCTCCTGGGTTCAAGTGATTCTCGTCTCAGCCTCCTGAGTAGCACGTGCCACTATGCCTGGCTAATTTTTGTATTTTTAGTAGAGATGGGGTTTCACCATGTTGGCCAGGCTGGTCTTGAACTCCTGACCTCAAGTGATCTGCCCGCCTTGGCCTCCCAAAGTACTGGGATTACAGCTGTGAGCCACCATGCCCAGCCTGAAGTGTTTTTATGATGGTTGGTCTAAAATCGTTGTCATATAATAATTAATATATCTGCCAGTGTTAGCAGTCCTTGTTGTTTCACTCTCCCATCAACATGTGACATTGTCAGAGTTTTATTAAAGCCATTTTGCTAGGTGTACAGTAATATTACATTGTGGTTTCAATTTGTATTTCCCTAATGACTAATTATGTTTTAAATCATTTTTATAATGGGTCATTTGTTTTCTTATTATTATACCTTCATTGGTTTTTAAAAAGCTTCCTAGCACCTAAAACACTCCTTACCATGGCAGGTAAGGCCCTGTATGATATAACCCCTGCCTATCTTTTCAGCTTCATCTTTCACTTAAGTACTGTCCATATAGCTTGATACTCTACTGAAACAAGTTATAATATCATAATAGACCTCCTTCGTATTCTCACTCCCAAATCTGTAATTCTACCTGCACCTTTTGCTCTTTATTCCATCCAGATAAAACTGGAGAAGGTCTCCCCTACTAACAAAAATCAAACCCTTCACAGGAGATTTTGATCCCATTCCCTCTCATGGGGTCATTGTCTAGAACTTCTTTCTTTTCCTTTCTGTTGTGTGCTATTGATCTTTCATTAGTATTTAATCATCCTCACCAGTAACTAATATGCTTTATTACCTCCCATTATAAAGAAATAAGAGAGCCTCCCTTGTTCCCTAATTACCCTCTAGCTATTGTACCCTCTAGCTAATTCTTTTCATAGTCAAACCTCTCATAAATGTTGTCTATAAATGCTGATCCCACTTCTTTCCATCCTTTCCTGCTTTCTGATCTGGCTTTTGTCCCCACTACACTAAAATGATCTTGTCAAGGTACAAGTGATCTCCTTGTGGCCAAATAGCATGATAATTCTCTTGATTGAAACAGTCTATTCTCTTAGCTTTGGTGATGCCACATTCTCTGAAGTTTTCTCCCGTTTCATTAGCTGCTACTCAGTTTTCTGTACACTTTCTTTTTCTCTAGCCAACTTCTAGTTGTGGCCATTTCTCAAGGCTCAGTCTCCTTCCACTCTCTCCCTAGCTTTTCAACCAGCCCCATGATACTAAATGTCATCTATATGCTGATCAGTCCTAAATTTATATTTCTGGACTAAACCTATCCTTTGAATCCTAGACTAAAATATTCAATGACTATAACATCACTACTGAGATTCTCCAATAGAAACATGTCCCAAAGTGAATGTTGGTATCCAGCTTTTCCTACAATCTGTTCATCCAGGAGTCTTCTTCATGTGCCCTTTCATCAGTTGCTCACACTATAGACCTGAATGGCTTTCCTTTCATTCCTTACATCTAGTCCAGTACAGATCTTGTCAGTTCTACCTACCATACATATCTCAGACTCAACCACATCTTGTCGTCTTCAGTAACCATCATTTAACTTATCATCTGCACAGGTCTGGGCCATTCGGATAGCCACTGCACTAATTTATCTAGCTATTCCCCCACCAATCTCACCAAACAGCCAGAATGACCTTCTTAAAGCATATGGAATCATACCAATTTCTCCATTGTGTTGTGTTGCTCATCCACATGGGTTGTCCATGTGCGGCCCCTGTGTGTGTGTGTACCCTCCACATGGCTCATCCACATGTGGTCTCTGTGTGTGCATCCCCTCCAGGTGAATCATCCATATGTGGTTTTTGCGTGTGTGTGTGTGTCCCTCCTGCAGGTAGTTAATGCATGTGTGGTCTCTGTGTGTGTTTCCCCCTCAGCCGCCTCTCCTCCCTCATTTCATGCCCCTCTCCCACTGACCACCGTCCTCCAGCTCCCCTGACCTCATTTTTTCCCTTGAACCTATAGAGTTATTTTCTCTCAGTGGCTTTGGCCAGTTTGGTGTGTCAACCTTGCATGCTCATTCATGCATGGCTCCTCATTCTCACCTGTCAGTACTTGTTGCGCCTCCAAAGAGCAACCTTCCTAGTCCTCCTTTTAAGAAGAAATAGGTTCCATACTCCATTGTTCACTGTGGCCTAGCCTGTTTGTCTCCTTTATAACATTACTCCATTTGCATTTTTATTAGTTTTTAATTTCCTTGATCTCTCTCGGACAATAGATGATAAATTCCATGTGGGAAGAAACTATGTGTTCCATATATCAGTGTATTCCCAGCATCTACATAGTATCAAGTGTATAATAGGCATTCAATAAATATTCTTAACAAACTATTTGTAACTCTAACACTCAAGTTCCTTCACTGTTTCACACGTCTAAACTTTTGTGTTGTGGCGGTATTTTCTTGCCTAACTGATCCCACCTTCTTAAGGACTTTTTAGAATGAAAGGTATTGGAGGTCTCAATGATCATTGGCTTCATAGTTCATACATGGTCTTCTCTTACTGAGGATGCGAAGTACCCACAACCCCCACCGCACCTGCAGGAAAATGAGAGTGATGCTCACTGGCCATCAGAATGCAGGTGATGAGGCCGCACATGATCCAGTGTTCGGGACAGGTAGAGTGGAGACTGCCCTGTCTCCATAGCCAGACTGCCCCAGCTCAAAGAGGTTGCACATTTCAAGCATTGTAGTCGTAGTATAAGAAGAGATTCTTAGAGCTAAGAAAACTCGATTTTTGCCAGCTGCCATTTGAATTCAAATTTTAGATTAGATTTGAACTCAAATTTTTCTCTTTTTGTAAAGCTTAGTTTCAAGAGGAAATGACTGAGCTATAATTTTTCTCAGTTTCCCATGATGTTAATATATATCTACAATTTTGGTAATGAATGTATGAATTCAGACATATTCTGAAATCCGAGTCTGGGTGGCAAAATTTTGGCAATAATTTGAGACTGTCAAACTTGTGAAAGTATGTTGCTTTGGTAAAAGTGTTGAACTAGAAAGTTAAAGATTCTATCATTGATGTAAACCCCACAGTACAAATGACAGACCTCAAGTGATATAGCCCACAGTCTAGTAGAATAAGTTAGTCAATCACATGTCGGCGTGCATTTGCATTGGTTTTATTTTAGATTGAGGAACATGTGCATGTTTGTCACATGGGTATACTGCATGCTGGCGGGCACAGGGCTTGTAGTGTGCCCATTACCCAAATAGTGAACATTGTAACTGACAGCTAATTTTTCAACACTCACTCCCCTCCCAACCTCCCAACTTTTGGAGCTCCCAGTGTCTATTATTTCCATCTCTATGTCCATGTGTACCCATTGTTGTTAGCTCCCATTTATAATCAAGAACAAGCAGTGTTTGATTTTCTCTTTCTGAGTTAGTTCACTTAGCATAGTGGCCTCCAGCTGCATCCATGTTGTTGCAAAGGATGTGATTTCATTCTTTTTTATGGCTGCTGATTAAGATGGATCAAAGGCTTACACCAATCTGTAACTGGGCACTTGTGTATAAATAGTCAATTTTCCGTTGACTGCTTTGGGAAGAGCAGGAGAAGTGACAGGGAAGGGGCCCCCAGGAGAGGGTGCCAGACAAGAATGCAGAGCAGAGAAAGCCACGCATGCAGCAGGGCAGAGTGAGCACACGCAGCTCACACGGCGTGAACGCGCAGCAGAGCAGAGGGAGCGCCCGCAGCTCACACGGCGTGAACGCGCAGCGGAGCAGAGTGAGCGCGTGCAGCTCCCACGGCGTGAACGCGCAGTGAGTGGGGAAGGCTTGCAGAGGCAGCTCCTTTTGGGCCTTGGGGAGCATGTGACAGATGATGACCTTTTATCTCAAGACCACAAGACAGTCAGAGAAAGGAGCCACACAGCCAGCTGTTATCCTGGTTGCTGTGGGGAGTGGTCCAGGATAGTGCTAGTAAGAGTGATAATGGTACAGAGGCTGCTGTGGTGTCCAGATGAGAGATGGACAGCTAACAAGCTCTCCCTATTATGTCAATAAGGACCACGAGGCCACCCTTAAAGAAACTGGAAAATGCTTTGCTTTGTTATTTTAAATATTTTCATTTATACTCTGCAATGTAAATATATTAATATTTTCATTAAAAATACCCCACAGTTATATAAAGAGTGAAAATTCCACTAACCACTCACATACAGCCCCACTACTCTCCCCAGAACCAAATAGGCCCATAGCTGGCTTCTCCAGCCACCGTGCCACAGGCTGCTGGCAGCCTGGCCCCCTCTCCCTTCTCCACACTGTTGGCAACGGCTTCCCTCAGTTCTCCAGCACAGGTTACATCTCTCTCAGCTAGCCTGAGTATTCTTTTTCAGAGCAACCTGATTATTTTGTTCTAGAAAAAGCACAACCTGTAATTATTTGTTCACTTGAGTATAATCTGACTCCTCCATTATAATAAACCCTCTGAGGCAGCAACGTGGTCTCAGTGTTTCTGCCCCAGTGCTTGAAACAAACATGATGTAAGGGAGAAGCGCAGTAAAGGGCTGACAGCTTCTACTGGGCAAGCTTTGGGGTGCAAATATTCACATTTTTTTTCTCTCCACACGCGAGGTCTTTCCCTCTCTCTCTAGTTGACCCTCATTATTCATGGATTTCTTATTTGTGAATCTACCTACTCACCAACATTTATTGGTAACCCTCAAATCAACCCTCTCAAGTGCACAGAGAAGTGAAAAGTTTGTGTCTTCAGAGCACATGCCCCCAGCTGCATGAGGTGAAAGTTTGTCTTCAGAGCACATGCTTCCAGCTGAATGAGGCGAAAGTTTGTCTTCAGAGCACATGCTCCAAGATGAATGAGGTGAAAGTTTGTCTTCAGAGCACATGCTTCCAGCTGAATGAGTGAAAGTTTGTCTTCAGAGCACATGCTTCCAGCTGAATGAGGCGAAAGTTTGTCTTCAGAGCACATGCTCCAAGATGAATGAGGTGAAAGTTTGTCTTCAGAGCACATGCTTCCAGCTGAATGAGTGAAAGTTTGTCTTCAGAGCACATGCTTCCAGCTGAATGAGTGAAAGTTTGTCTTCAGTGCACATGCTCCCAGCTGAATGAGGCGAAAGTTTGTCTTCAGTGCACATGCTCCCAGATGAATGAGTGAAAGTTTGTCTTCAGAGCACATGCTTCCAGCTGAATGAGGTGAAAGTTTGTCTTCAGTGCACATGCTTCCAGCTGAATGAGTGAAAGTTTGTCTTCAGTGCACATGCTCCAAGATGAATGAGGTGAAAGTTTGTCTTCAGTGCACATGCTTCCAGCTGAATGAGTAAAAGTTTGTCTTCAGAGCACATGCTCCCAGCTGAATGAGTGAAAGTTTGTCTTCAGTGCACATGCTCCCAGCTGAATGAGTGAAAGTTTGTCTTCAGTGCACATGCTCCCAGCTGAATGAGGCGAAAGTTTGTCTTCAGAGCACATGCTCCCAGATGAATGAGGCGAAAGTTTGTCTTCAGAGCACATGCTCCCAGATGAATGAGGCGAAAGTTTGTCTTCAGAGCACATGCTTCCAGCTGAATGAGTGAAAGTTTGTCTTCAGTGCACATGCTTCCAGCTGAATGAGTGAAAGTTTGTCTTCAGAGCACATGCTTCCAGCTGAATGAGTGAAAGTTTGTCTTCAGAGCACATGCTTCCAGCTGAATGAGTGAAAGTTTGTCTTCAGTGCACATGCTCCCAGATGAATGAGGCGAAAGTTTGTCTTCAGTGCACATGCTTCCAGCTGAATGAGTGAAAGTTTGTCTTCAGAGCACATGCTCCCAGCTGAATGAGTGAAAGTTTGTCTTCAGTGCACATGCTCCCAGATGAATGAGGCGAAAGTTTGTCTTCAGTGCACATGCTCCCAGCTGAATGAGTGAAAGTTTGTCTTCAGTGCACATGCTCCCAGCTGAATGAGTGAAAGTTTGTCTTCAGTGCACATGCTCCCAGCTGAATGAGGGGAAAGTTTGTCTTCAGAGCACATGCTTCCAGCTGAATGAGTGAAAGTTTGTCTTCAGAGCACATGCTTCCAGCTGAATGAGTGAAAGTTTGTCTTCAGAGCACATGCTTCCAGCTGAATGAGTGAGTTTGTCTTCAGAGCACATGCTTCCAGCTGAATGAGTGAAAGTTTGTCTTCAGAGCACATGCTTCCAGCTGAATGAGTGAAAGTTTGTCTTCAGAGCACATGCTCCCAGCTGAATGAGTGAAAGTTTGTCTTCAGTGCACATGCTCCCAGATGAATGAGGCGAAAGTTTGTCTTCAGTGCACATGCTTCCAGCTGAATGAGTGAAAGTTTGTCTTCAGAGCACATGCTCCCAGCTGAATGAGTGAAAGTTTGTCTTCAGTGCACATGTTCCCAGATGAATGAGGCGAAAGTTTGTCTTCAGAGCACATGCTCCCAGCTGAATGAGTGAAAGTTTGTCTTCAGTGCACATGCTTCCAGCTGAATGAGTGAAAGTTTGTCTTCAGTGCACATGCTCCCAGCTGAATGAGGGGAAAGTTTGTCTTCAGAGCACATGCTTCCAGCTGAATGAGTGAAAGTTTATCTCCAGTGCACATGCTCCAAGATGAATGAGGTGAAAGTTTGTCTTCAGTGCACATGCTTCCAGTTGAATGAGTGAAAGTTTGTCTTCAGAGCACATGCTTCCAGCTGAATGAGTGAAAGTTTGTCTTCAGTGCACATGCTCCCAGCTGAATGAGGCGAAAGTTTGTCTTCAGTGCACATGCTCCCAGCTGAATGAGGTGATGCTCGGCCTTCTGGTTTTAACTCATACTGTAAGCAACTGTTTTCTTTTCACAGTTTATTTTTTATTTTTTATTTTATTTTATTTTTTGAGACGGAGTCTCGCTCTTTGGCCCAGGCCAGAGTGCAGTGGCGCAGTCTTGCCTCACCGCAAGCTCCGCCTCCCGGCATGAACCCTCAGCCTCCCTTGTAGCTGGGACTACATTCACAGTTTATTTAGTGCCACTTTTTTCGCCGCATTTTTATGCTTTTTGTTGGTGATTTCACTGTTTAAAATAGCCTCAAGCACAGTGCGGAAGTGCTGCTTAGCGTTCCTGAGAGCAAGAAGGCTGTGAGGTGCCTTTCGGAGAAAACACGCATTAGATAAGCTTCATTCAGACATGAGTTACAGTGCCGTTGGTCATGTTACTTACTCTACAATATATACTAAGTAAGGTGTCTTTAAACAGAAACATACATAAAACAAGGTTGTATATTGATGGGGTGATGCTGTGTCCTGAGGCTCACGGGAACCTAACGCGGTCTTTCCTCCATGAGCGATGGTTCACTGTTCACTAATTCAATGTTCGTGCTGAAAAAGAAAAATGACATCCTAAGCCCCTGAGCTGACTGAATGGACTCCTTGTTGGCCAAGGGGGCGCCAGAGAAATTTTAAAAGCTGAGTTCCTGGCCATGATGGAATGGGGAGTTTGGACACGCCTTGTTATACCCCCTCCCTCGCTAATCGCCATTAGACTTCCTTACGCGAGGGTCAATCAGAAGCCACAGCCCTTTCCAAAGACTTGCCAGACTCCCCTTCCGTGGTTTTGACACAGTGACGAACCGGCATTCCTTCCTGATAAGAGACCACCGACCGTGGACTGCTTCTGGCCGGTGTACAGTGGCTGCACACGGGATGCCTCTGCGCCCTCCATTTCATCTTCTACATACAGACCTAATTTTAGTGCATTTAAACGTTAAGTGCTCACCCCAGATTGAATGTGGACGGACATGCATGCATGTTTGCTCTCTATGCATGCATCCATCCATCATGAATAACCTGTTAGATACATGTACTTAGCCAACCCATTTGGCATAAATCCCTGTTCCAGCCTTTCCGCCCTCAAAGTGCCTGCTTTTGGTTTCTGCTTCCTAGCCTGCAAGATGGCCAGCCTGCAGGGTGCAATCCTTTGTCAGAAATAAAGCTCTCCTCTCCAAATGTATGAACCTCGTGATTCTTCAGTTGACAGCAGTGACTTTACAAAACACAGCTACTATAAGTAATGAGCATACTTGTTTATTTTGCTCAAACTTGCCTTCCCCTTACTAACAGTTGAGGAGGAGGTTGGAAAATAAATGTGTATGTGTATGTTTGTGTATATATTTGTATCTTGTCTGTCTTCTATGAATTGCCTGTGGTTTTTTTTTTTGCCCATTTTTCTGTTGAGTTGTCTTTTTCTTGTCAGTTTGAATAATTCATTTATATATTATTCATATTAATTTTTAACCTCTTAAATACTTTGCAAATATTTTATTCAAGTAGACACCTTAAAAGAAACTTCATTTATGTGGGCTTTTCTCATAGGGTGGTTTTAAGTGTGTATGTGATGAAGTTTGCCAGTATTTTCCTTTGTTACTCCTGGGTTTGTTTCTTCTATATTTTATTAGTATAGGTTGAAGGCTTTCTTCAAACTATACTAATAAAATATAATTCTCTGTTTTCACTAGGTTTTAAAAAGTGAGTCTTTTAATTCATCTGGGATATTTTCTGGTGTGCCATAGCATAGAAAACTATTGAATTTAAGCAACTAGTCAGTCTCCTTTTCCTATTCTTTTCAATTGATGTACAAATAATAATACCTTCAGTATTGTTGTATTGCTACCGAGTGAGGAGCTCATTCCTCCCTTTTTTTTCTTCCAGTATTGCCTCCTCCTGCTGCTGTCAGTCTAGAGAGTGGGCTCAAGCTACCATGGTGGGAGTTCTGACCCAGAGCTGATTCTCATTTGTGAGAAATCTCCATTCCATTCCACTCTCCAGCAGCAGGTCCCATGAGCTTACAGTTATACTTTATCTATACTTCAAACAAACCTTTAAAATCTTTATATATAAGTTTAGACTAAAGTCTAGACTTCAAATAAGACTTTAATGGGGAGAGACCCTTTTAAACCTGAAGAGACTGGGAAGAGCAGAGTGCTCCGATTCTGTCAACATAGATGCATGCTGCTCTCTTATGAATTATGTCCCCGAGTGCTCCTTGTTGGCCGCATGCCAGCGTCATCGTGAAGACGTCAGGCATCAGCCAACTGGGGCAGCAGGGCTTGGCACCTGCCCTGAATCCTTAGGTGTCTGATCACGTCACTGAAGAGAGACAACCTCAGCCGGACGCCTCTGGCAGGATCCTCCATGCACAGCAAGACAAACCCTCCCTGACCTGTCAGCTGGCCATGGGCTCTTTGTGGGTGAAATTAGGTTTCCTCACATCAGTGTGGGGCTAAACTTTGCTTTGGGGCCTTCACTGGGCAAGAAGTTAATGTGCACAGATGAGCTCCTGCTCCCATCGCCTTGTCCTTTTGTGTCCCTAGCTCAATAAAGCTAAGGATGGTTAGAAAAGAACTTGGAAACTCCAGAGATCTGTTCCTTCACTGATCCCAGGGCCACAGGGGTGCACAAACCTCCAGAAACAAAAGGAAGTGAGCAGAAAAAAACGTCATAACACAACGGCCATCAACATGCAAAATGCAGGAGCCTTAGGGTCTTCCTTCCAGATACTCGATGTGTTCCAATTTCAGGGTAGTCTCCAAAAGCCTCCCCAGTAGAAGGAACCTTCATTTCTTTCATCCTCCACAGGCCACATGTCCAGAACTGTTTACTGTTTTTCAGATTCTTTAATACAGTTAATTATTTTAAAGGGGAAAAATTGCCTAAAGAATTTGACCATTAGGGACTTAATCCAGGGCCATATTTTCCTGGTGATCAGATGTTCACAGACACAGTGCAATGATGGTGAGGGAGAAGAGGTTTAAGCATAAGAGCAGAAAGGATCTTGTTCCCTCCCTTCAGGGGGCCTCTGAATATTCTCCAGTGAGTTACGACGTTGGTACCATATCTCAGGAAGTCACACCAACTAGACACTTGTAGAAGCCAATGTGTTCCCTTGCTGTGGTGTATGTGGGTTAGAAAATAATTTTCAAGTGTTTGCTTTTCCATTAAGCTTCATGAGATCAGAAGAAAATCTTACTCCCTGTCCAGAGCACTTGCAGGTCTCTCGTGCCTCCTGCTCTGCTTTTCGCTGGTGCTCTGGTAAATGATGCATGTGCTCAGAGAGCCTGACCAAGAAGGGCAGCCTTGATTTCCCACTCAGCAGGCAGGAAGCCACCTTCTAGATCAGCAGAGGTCCTCCCTGGAAACTCCATAGGCCTGTGGGACACCAGCTTCTGTGGCTTCCTGTGGGACACCAGCTTCTGTGGCTTGCTTGGAAGACTGGAGGGGAGCTGGACAAGCTTGATGCCTGCTGTTTGGTGACCTAGGACTCATTCCAACTCCCCTTCCCAGGTGGCTGCAGGACTTGCATTTAATTTCCTTCTCCAGACAGCTGCAGGATGTACCCTTCATTCCCTTCCCCTGATGGCTGCAGGATGTGACCCACATTCCCTTCCCCAGAAGGCTGCAGGACATGCCCCTCATTCCCTTCCCCTGATGGGTGTGGAACATACCACTCATTCCCTTTCCTTAATGGGGGCAGAATGTGCCCATCATTCCCTTTTCCTGATGGGTGCAAGACATACCAGTCAGTCCCTTCTCCTGATGGCTGCAGGATGGGCCCATCGTTCCCTTTTCCTGATGGGTGTGGAACATACCACTCATTCCCTTTCCTTAATGGGGGCAGAATGTGCCCATCATTCCCTTTTCCTGATGGGTGCAAGACATACCGGTCAGTCCCTTCTCCTGATGGCTGCAGGATGGGCCCATCGTTCCTTTCCCCTAGTGGAGGCAGGACATGCCACTCATTCCCTTGCCTTAATGAGGGCAGAATGTGCCCACCATTCCCTTCCCCTGATGGGTGCAGGACATGCCCATCAGTCCCTTCTCATGATAGATGCAGGACATGCCCATCATTCCCTTCCCCTGATGGGTGCAGGACATGCCCATCATTCCCTTCCCCTGATGGCTGCAGGACATGCCCATCATTCCCTTCCCCTGATGGCTGCAGGATGTGCCCATCATTCCCTTCCCCTGATGGCTGCAGGATGTGCCCATCATTCCCTTCCCCTAGTGGGAGCAGGACATGCCACTGATTCTCTTCCCTTAATGGGTGCAGGACATGCCCCCTCATTTCTATGCCCCAATGGCTGCAGGATGTACCCCTCATTGCTGCAGGGCATGCCCTTCATTCCCTTTCCCAGATGGCTTCAGGATGTGACCTTCATTCCCTTCCCCGATGGCTGCAGGATATACTCCTCATTCCCATCCCAAGTTGGTTGCAGGACATGCCTCTTATTCCTTTTCCCAGATGGCTGCAGGACATATCCTATCCCTTTCCCCCAGATGGCTGCCAGATGTGACCCTTATTATTTTACCCAGATAGCTGCAGTACATTCCCCTCATTTCCTTTCTCTCATGGCTGCAGAACATGCCCCTCATTCCCTTCTCCTGATGGCTGCAGAACATGTCTCTCATTTCCTTTCCCTGATGGCTACAGAACATGCCCTTCCTTTCCTTCCCCTGATGGCTGTGGGACATGCCCCTCATTTCCTTCCCCTGATGGCTGCAGGACATGTTCCTCATTTCCTTCCCCTGATGGCTGCAGAACATGCCCCTCACTCCCTTCCCCTGATGGCTGCAGAACATGTCCCTTATTTCCTTTCCTTGATGGCTGCGGGACATGCCCCTACTTTCCTTCCCCTGATGGCTGCAGGACATGTTCCTCATTTCCTTCCCCTGATGGCTGCAGAACATGCCCCTCATTCCCTTCTCCTGATGGCTGCACAACATGTCCCTCATTTCCTCCCCCTGATGGCTGCAGAACATGCCCCTCATTCCCTTCTCCTGATGGCTGCACAACATGTCCCTCATTTCCTCCCCCTGATGGCTGCAGGACATGCCCCTCCTTTCCTTCCCCTGATGGCTGCAGGACATGTTCCTCATTTCCTTCCCTTGATGGCTGCAGAACATGTCCCTCATTTCCTTCCCCTGATGGCTGCAGAACGTGTCCCTCATTTTCATCCCCTGATGGCTGCAGAACATGTCCCTCCTTTCCTTCCCCTGATGGCTGCAGGACATGCCCCTCCTTTCCTTCCCCTGATGGCTGCAGGACATGTTCCTCATTTCCTTCCCCTGATGGCTGCAGAACATGTCCCTCATTTTCATCCCCTGATGGTGGCAGAACATGTCCCTCTTTTCCTTCCCCAGATGGCTGCAGAACATGTCCCTCATTTCCTTCCCCAGATGGCTGTAGGACATGCCCCTCATTCCCTTCCCCTGATGGCTGCAGAACATGTCCCTCATTTTCATCCCCTGGCGGTGGCAGAACATGTCGCTCATTTCCTTCCCCACATGGCTGCAGAACATGTCCCTCATTTCCTTCCCCTGATGGCTGTGGGACATGCCTCTTTTTTCCTTCCCCTGCTGTGAGACATGCCCCTCATTCCCTTCCCCTGATGGCTGCAGAACATATCCCTCATTTTCATCCCCTGACAGTGGCAGAACATGTCCCTCATTTCCTTCCCCTGGTGGCCGCAGGACAGTTCCCTTATTTCCTTCCCCTGACAGCTGGAGGACATGCTCCTCAGTCCCTTCTCCTGATGGCTGCAGAACATGTCCCTCATTTCCTTTCCCTGATGGCTGTGGGACATGCCCCTCATCTCCTTCCCCTGACGGCTGCAGAACACGTCCCTCATTTCCTTCCCCTGATGGTTGCGTGATATGCCTCTCATTTCCCTCCCCTGATGGGTACAGGACATGTCCCTCATTTCTTTCCCCTGATGGCTGCAGAACACATCCCTCATTTCGTTCCCTTGATGGCTGCAGAACATGTCCCTCATTTCCTTCCCCTGATGGCTGCAGAACACGTCCCTCATTTCCTTCCCCTGATGGTTGCGGGATATGCCTCTCATTTCCCTCCCCTGATGGGTACAGGACATGTCCCTCATTTCTTTCCCCCGATGGCTGCAGAACACATCCCTCATTTCGTTCCCTTGATGGCTGCAGAACATGGCCCTCATTTCCTTCCCCTGATGGCTGCAGGACATGTCTCTTATTTCCTTCCTCAGATGGCTACAGGACATGTTCCTCATTTCCTTCCCCTGATGGCTGCAGGACATGCCTCTCATTTCCTTCCCCTGATGGCTGCAGTGCATGCCCCTCTTTTTCTTCCCCTGGTGGCTGCAGGACATACTCCTCATTTCCCTCTCCTGATAGCTGTGGGACATGTCCCTCATTTCCTTCCCCTGATGTCTGTGGGACATGCCTCTCATTCCCTTTGGCTCTGGGATGGGACATGTCCCTCATTTCCTTCCCCTGATGGCCGTGGGACATGCCCCTCATTTCCTTCCCCTGGTGGCTGCAAGACATACTCCTCATTTCCCTCTCCTGATGGCTGCAGGACATACTTCTCATTTCCCTCTCCTGATGGCTGTGGGACATGTCCCTCATTTCCTTCCCCTGATGGCTGCAGGACACGCCTCTCATTTCCTTCCCCTGATGGCTGCAGGACACGCCTCTCATTTCCTTCCCCTGATGGCTGCAGTGCATGCCCCTCTTTTTCTTCCCTGATGGCTGCAGGACATGCCTCTCATTTCCTTTTCCTGAAGGCTGCAGTGCATGCCCCTCTTTTTCTTCCCCTAATGGCTACAGGACATACTCCTTATTTCCCTCTCCTGATGGCCGTGGGACATATCCCTCATTTCCCTCTCCTGATGGCCATGGGACATGCCTCTCATTCCCTTTGGCTCTGGGAAATGACGGTTCCTCAGAGAGGTCAGTACTACTCTGCTTTGCCAATGCCTGCTTTTTGGTCATGGGCTTGTTCTTTTTGGGCCGGACATTCTCTGTTCTGATCTAGTAGATGGGAGCCTGGCATTTAGTAGTGTTCAGTAAATGCTTGTGGAGTGAATGCATGGGTCCAGCTCTCCTACCTGTGCAGAAAAGCATTGGGGCTACATGGCCATGTGACATGGGACAGGTGATCTCTTGTCTCTGAGCCTCAGCTGCTCACACCACATGGTTTTTGAGGGAGACTTGTTGATTTGGTCATGGAAGTGCCTGAGAAGACAAAGCGACACCAGGAACCACAGGCAGAAAGTGAGGCATCTGGTTCCATCAGTGAGCAGACAGTGGGGAGTCATCCAAGACCAGAACTAGAACCACTGGGGCAGGGAGTTTCAGAAACAGCAGGGGCAGGGGGGTGTGACTGAGGAGACAAATATAATACCAAGAGGCCAGAAGAAAACACTCCTGGTTAAGGGTTTCAGACCCCTCTCTCATCGGGACCCTCATCCCACCCCAGAGAGCCCACTCTGGGTGGTTAAGGTTTTCAGACCCTTCTCTCATTGGGACCCTCATCCCACCCCAGGTAGCACTGCAGTTCCACAACTGAGAGATAAGCTTAGTCAGAAAACAAAACAGGACAGAAAGGGAGGGTCCAGTGGGGGTCTCAAGGGCCTACAGGCCAGGAGGCTTCCTGGAAGGCCTTAAGTGTCATGCAGGGGTCTTTGGGTCTTGTAGGGAAGGGCCACCTTCCTGAGGGGTTGACGGTCAGGGACAGATTTCAGGGAATGCCAGCAGGGAGGGATCTGGAGTGGGCTGAGGGCCTGTGTTAGCCGGGCCCAGCAGGGAAGGTGCTTTGGAGAACAGGCTTTTCCACTCACACTATGGTACGCCCTCCGGGGGAGGGTAGGGGATGGCTCCACGTGCCATACCTTCTCTGTCTGTCTCTCATTAGCTCTCCGGTGGCACTACAGTGCTCAAATCAGGATTGCCAAAGTTCAGAATTAGCTGTTCTGAAGAAACGTGAGCCCACAGAAGGGCCCCAAGCCTCATGGAAACTCTCTCTAAAGCAGTGGTCTGAGCTGGGGCACCCAAAACAGACATCTTTTGCTTTCAAAAGCCTCTGCACTCCAAACAATACATGTGAGTCCTTCCTCGCTCCCTCTCCACGCCAACCCTGAGTGTGGGCTGGATTTAGTGGCTTTAGAACAGAATGTTAAATAGAAAAACTAGTTACTTACAGTGGAGAAACCTGGCAGACCCACCTCAACCAGGAGATGAAGGCTAACATCACCCAAGTCACATTGCTATCCTGGGAAGGGCAGCTCACATTCTTCCCCAAAGCCCACAACCTCAATCTAATCATGAGGAAACAACAGACAAACCCAATTCACGGGATATTCAAGGAAAGACTGAGGAACTGTCACAGACCAGAGTACCTGAGAAGGCATAACAACTAAATGCAGCACAGGGTCCTGGATGTGTCCTGGGGCAAAAGAACGGGTGAAATCTGAATATGGTCTGGAGCTTAGTAGTGGTGATGTGCCAATGTTAACTGCTAGTTTTGATACATGTGCTAATGTTAATTCTTAGTTTTGATACAAATGTCAACATAAACTCTTAGTTTTCATACACGTGCCAATGTTCATTCTTGGTTTTGATACATATGCCAATGTTCATTCTTAGTTTTGACACGTGTCTATGCTAATTTTTATTTATTTTAATTGTATTTATTTGTTTATTAATTACCATCTATGGACTCACAGAACCAATGTTATTTCTTAGTTTTGGTACATGTACCAAGGTTACACAGAATTTTGACATTAGCGAAGCTGGGTGGAGGATATATAGAAACTCTGTACTATCTTTGCAACTACCCTATAAATCTCAAAGACTATTCGAGAACAAAAAGTTAGAGGAAGGCCCGCAGCAAGATTCCACTCTGTTTCACCTGGGGTGTCCTGGTCACTCAGGCCCTGGGGCAGCCATGCAGTGGGTCCTGCCTGCTTTGCTACCCCCTTCATTCTGTTCACGCATGTTAGCTGTGGGCTACCCCAACTCCACTCCCCAGCCTTACAGCCATGCCCTGGGCCTCCACATGTCCAAGAGGGTCTTCAGACTAGGTGGGGGACAGTGTCCAGGACCTTCCTCACAAGAGGGGCAGTTCAGGCCAGGTGTGGTGTCTCACACCTGTAATCCCAGCACTTTGGGAGGCCGAGGTGGGCAGATCACCTGAGGTCAGGAGTTCAAGACCAGCCTGGCTAAAATGACGAAACCCTGTCTCTACTAAATAGACAAAAATTAGCCAGGTGTGGTGGCACGTACCTGTAGTCCAGCTACTTGGGAGGCTGAGGCAGGAGAATCTCTTGAACCCAGGAGGTGGAGGTTGCAGTGAGCAGAGATCCAGCCACTGTACTCCAGCCTGGGCGACAAAGCAAGTCTCCATCTCAAAAAAAAAAAAAAAAAAAAGAGGGGTAGTTTGGGAATCTCGCCCAGGTCAGCTCCCTGGCCATCTCAGCTGCTGACAACCAGCCAACTGGAAAGTTTCAACTGAAATTCTGTGCCGTCATCAACCTGCCCTCATCAGTAAATTCCTGGAGGGCCCAGGCTCAGACAATGGTTGTATTCAACTTGAAAGCAGACATATTTGAAGACAAAGCCCCTGCCATATGTCTATGAGCAAGAGCCAAACAGAGCAGTGGGCTTAAGGGGAGGGGCACAGCTGACAGTCTCTCCTCTCTGGGAGACTCTGGGAGGAGGATTACTTAGGGCTGCAGACATAAAAGGAAAGTGCTTCTTGCTCCTCCCGGGTCTGCAACTGGGTTTTGTTAGCCACTGTAGGTCAACAAAGGTAAGAAAGGAGCTTCATGTTAACCCAACCGGCCCAGAATCCAGGACAATGAGTTGGCCCAGCAGGAGGCAGGAACATGAGAAGGCAGTGGAGCCTGGCTGTGTGCTCGCTGTGGTGCTGGGCTCTTTCCATCATTATTTCATTGCAGACAGCAACTCTGTTTTGTCACATAGATGGAGAACCTGGGACTCAGAGAGGTTAAATTCTTTTCCAAAGTCATGCTAGCTAGAAAGTGGAAGAAGTTGAATCTGACCCCAAAGCTTGTAAGATTACAGCTTTTAGCTTCTTACAGTTCACTGAAAACTACAAACAACAGCATAATGTTTAAGAGTTCAGACAGGATGTGAATCTTGGCTTTGTCATTCAGTAACTGTGCCACCTTGGATAAGTCAATCTATCCAATGCCTCAGTTTCCACATCTGTTAAAAAGGAGGGATAATGGTAGCATCTATTTCATTGGACCAAGTAAATCAATTAACATATACAACCTAAAAGAATACCTAACATGAAATAAGTGGTCACTATAAATAATAGCTGCTATTATTACATTTAAAGAGTTATTACAATGATTTAAAAATCTATCTTTGCAGATTTATCTCCTGTTGGTTGCTTAACTTCTAGAACAACCTGTAGTTTCTTGGACTTCCCCTGCTTTCCTGCCTCAACATCTTGATTCACTGTGTCTACAGGACTTTGTAGGTTACAGGTAACAGAAAAACCCAACTAAAAATGGCTTAAACAATAAAGCGACTTCAGGCGAGACTTGGTCCAGTCACTGAATCCAAGTTTTCCTTCATTTATCTGGTTTGCCTTGTGTATTTGCCTCTTGTGTATTATAACATCATTGATTCTAACTGGGCTACAAGCCTGTCCCTGAAGTAATGGCTCTGATCAGGAAGATGGGAAATGCTGATTGACTTAAGCCACTGAGGACCCAGTCCTGGAGCTGGGACTAAAGGTCAGCTTTCTCCAGTTATGTGAAGAGGAAGCAGTAGTTTCTGAGAGGACAACCAGGGCCCTGTTGTCAGAAGATAGAACCAATTCACTTTGCTGGCTGCCTTACCTACTATTCCCTCAGCCCCTCCATCCTCGTTTTCACCACCGCTCTGTAGTTCCTCCAACCCCGTCCCCCTCTTCACCACCGCTCTGTAGTTCCTCCAACCCCATCCTCCTTTTCACCACCGCTCTGTAGTTCCTCCAACCCCATCCTCCTCTTCACCACCGCTCTGTAGTTCCTCCAACCCCATCCTCCTTTTCACCACCGCTCTGTAGTTCCTCCAACCCCGTCCTCCTCTTCACCACCGCTCTGTAGTTCCTCCAACCCCATCCTCTTCACCACCGCTCTGTAGTTCCTCCAACCCCATCCTCCTCTTCACCACCGCTCTGTAGTTCCTCCAACCCCGTCCTCCTCTTCACCACCGCTCTGTAGTTCCTCCAACCCCATCCTCTTCACCACCGCTCTGTAGTTCCTCCAACCCCATCCTCTTCACCACCGCTCTGTAGTTCCTCCAACCCCATCCTCATTTTTACCACCGCTCTGTAGTTCCTCCAACCCCGTCCTCCTTTTCACCACCGCTCTGTAATTCCTCCAACCCCGTCCTCCTCTTCACCACCGCTCTGTAGTTCCTCCAACCCCATCCTCCTCTTCACCACCGCTCTGTAATTCCTCCAACCCCGTCCTCCTCTTCACCACCGCTCTGTAGTTCCTCCAACCCCATCCTCCTCTTCACCACCGCTCTGTAGTTCCTCCAACCCCGTCCTCCTTTTCACCACCGCTCTGTAGTTCCTCCAACCCCATCCTCCTCTTCACCACCGCTCTGTAGTTCCTCCAACCCCATCCTCCTTTTCACGACCCCTATGTAGTTCCTCCAACCCCATCCTCCTCTTCACCACCGCTCTGTAGTTCCTCCAACCCCATCCTCCTTTTTACCACCGCTCTGTAGTTCCTCCAACCCCATCCTCCTCTTCACCACCGCTCTGTAGTTCCTCCAACCCCGTCCTCCTCTTCACCACCTCTCTGTAGTTCCTCCAACCCCGTCCTCCTCTTCACCACCGCTCTGTAGTTCCTCCAACCCCATCCTCATTTTTACCACCGCTCTGTTGTTCCTCCAACCCCATCCTCCTTTTCACGACCCCTCTGTAGTTCCTCCAACCCCATCCTCCTCTTCACCACCGCTCTGTAGTTCCTCCAACCCCATCCTCCTCTTCACCACCGCTCTGTAGTTCCTCCAACCCCATCCTCCTCTTCACCACCGCTCTGTAGTTCCTCCAACCCCGTCCTCATTTTTACCACCGCTCTGTAGTTCCTCCAACCCCATCCTCTTCACCACCGCTCTGTAGTTCCTCCAACCCCATCCTCCTCTTCACCACCGCTCTGTAGTTCCTCCAACCCCATCCTCCTCTTCACCACCGCTCTGTAGTTCCTCCAACCCCATCCTCATTTTTACCACCGCTCTGTAGTTCCTCCAACCCCATCCTCTTCACCACCGCTCTGTAGTTCCTCCAACCCCATCCTCCTCTTCACCACTGCTCTGTAGTTCCTCCAACCCCATCCTCCTCTTCACCACCGCTCTGTAATTCCTCCAACCCCATCCTCCTTTTCGCCACCGCTCTGTAGTTCCTCCAACCCCATATCCTCTTCACCACCACTCTGTAGTTCCTCCAACCCCATCCTCCTCTTCACCACTGCTCTGTAATTCCTCCAACCCCATCCTCCTTTTCACCACCGCTCTGTAGTTCCTCCAACCCCATATCCTCTTCACCACCACTCTGTAGTTCCTCCAACCCCATCCTCCTCTTCACCACCGCTCTGTAGTTCCTCCAACCCCATCCTCCTCTTCACCACTGCTCTGTAATTCCTCCAACCCCATCCTCCTTTTCGCCACCGCTCTGTAGTTCCTCCAACCCCATATCCTCTTCACCACCGCTCTGTAGTTCCTCCAACCCCATCCTCCTCTTCACCACTGCTCTGTAATTCCTCCAACCCCATCCTCCTTTTCACCACCGCTCTGTAGTTCCTCCAACCCCATCCTCCTCTTCACCACCGCTCTGTAATTCCTCCAACCCCATCCTCCTTTTCACCACCCCTCTGTAGTTCCTCCAACCCAGTCAAAATTCGATTCACCCTTTTGGGTCCCTCCTAAATGCCTGTGTGCCTGGGACATAGTGGGTGTCCAATAAATTTCTGCTGAGTGAATGAACTTCCCTCTTCAAGAAACCCTTCCTGATGCTACCGATAAAACAATTTCTGCCTTCTCCCAACTTCCACAGATCTTGTATGTAACTTGCTTATGGCATTTAGTGTCTTTCTGTTGTTGCTTATGTGATTGTTCTGTTCTCTTCATTAGACTATTCAATACTTTATATGTGGTCTTTTTTTCCTACCCTTTCTTTCCTGGTATGCAAGAAACCCCATAAATCTTTGGTGATTTATTTAATAAATGAAAGAGGAAGTGAATGGCAGATTAATAGACTGAAAACAGCCATTTAGGTGCTGAATTGTTGTAGATTTAAAGCTTGGGTCTGGGTGAAATTCCTGGGGAAGAGAGAAGAGCCATAAAGAACCTGGGCACACCAGCATCTGAGGGCTCAGCAGGAGAGACTAAAAGAGCAGGAGCAGGAACAGCCGTCTGGCAACCTCTATGCTCAGCAGTGCATGTGGCCTTGTTGTGGCAGCTGGAAGCTCCCCAGCTGTAGGAAGATCAGTAACATTTTGCAAAGGAGAATGAGGAGAGGGCAGATGGAGAGCCCTGGACTTCATTCTGAAGGCTTCAGGAAGCCAACCAAGCATTTCAAGCAGGGGGATGAGTGGTGAGACTAGTGATTTTGATCCATCATTCCAGCAGTTGTTCAAGTTCAGCTGGAAGAAGAGATACCAAGTCAGAACCAAGGCTGGGTTCTAAAAAAGCGGCCGGGCGCGGTGGCTCACACTGTAATCCCAGCACTTCAGGAGGCCGAGGCGGGTGGATCATGAGGTCAGGAGTTCGAGACCAGCCTGGCCAACATGGCGAGGCCCCATGGCTACTAAAAATACAAAAATTAGCCAGGCGTGTTGGCACGCACCTGTAATCTCAGCTACTCGGGAGGCTGGGGCAGAATAATCGCTTGAACCAGGGAAACAGAGGTTGCAGTGAGCCAAGGTGGCGCCACTGCACTCCAGCCTGGGAAACACAGTGAGACCCTGTCTCAAAATAAATAAATAAATACATAAATATTAAAAAGAGAGTTATAGTGGAGAAAAGTGGTGAATTGAGAGGTGCTTAGGAGGCAGATCTGCAGGACATGGTGACTGGCAGGTGTGAGGAAGAGGAGCAGCTACAAATCCGCCTTTCATGGATTCTGAGATCCGGGAGCCTCAGTACTCACATGTCCACCATCCTCCTCACCTTCCTCTCCTCCTCCCCTCCTCACCTCCTCTCCTCCCCTCCTCCTCTCCTCCTCACCTCCTCACCTCCTCTCCTCCTCTCCTCCCCTCCTCCTCACCTCCTCCTCTTCCCCTCCTCACCTCCTCCTCTTCCCCTCCTGCCCTCCTCCTCTCCTCCTCTCTTCCTCCCCTCCTCTTCCCCTCCTCCCCTCCTCCTCCCCTCCTCCTCCTCTCCTCCCCTCCTCCCCTCCTCCTCCTCTCCTCCCCTCCTCCCCTCCTCCTCCTCTCCTCCCCTCCTCCTCCTCTCCTCCCCTCCTCCCCTCCTCCTCCTCTCCTCCCCTCCTCCTCCCCTCCTCACCTCCTCTCCTCCTCTCCTCCCCCCCTCCTCCTCACCTCCTTCTCCTCTCCTCCTTACCTCCTGGTCCTCATTAGAAATAGGCACAAAGAGCAGGGCTAGGAATTAAGGGTGGGTGATGGAGTAGTACCTTCATGGGACCAGGGAGGCTGCTCAGGTGTATGACTCTAGACAAAGGAGTCCCACAAGTTCCTGGAGCACAGCCCCATTTACTTGGATTCAACAGTCTCATCTGGGAAGAAAGTGAGTCTTGCAGAGCCCTGTCCCCTCTGGGCCCCTTGGGGCCCTGTTTGTGAGTGGCATGTCTGCCAGGGAGAGGGTGGCTGTGCTGTCACAGGCTAGAGGTCTGAGGTGGCCAGTAGAACCAGTAGCCAGGTAGAGAATTGCAAGAAGGCCTGGGCCAATGGCATCCAATGCCCAGGTTAAAGGGCTGTCCTGGGGGCTCCTCCAGTAAATGGGAATGAAATGTAGGACTTTTCCCAGAGCCTGGGATCTTTTATTCCTTGGCAGGGGTAGTAGCAATCACTTTCACTATCACCATAGTGACATTAATAGTCATGACTTACTGATATTGTGCATTGGTCACTATGATCCATGATTGACACATATTATCCAACGCAATCTTCACAACACTCCTTTGAGGTAGATACTATCATTATGCCCACTGTGTAGATGAGAAAACTGACGAGGCACAGTGGCTCAGGCCTGTAATCCCAGCACTTTGTGAAGCCCAGGGGGGCAGATCACCTGAGGTCAGGAGTTCTAGACCAGCTGGCCAACATGGTGAAACCGCATCTCTACTGAAAATACAAAAATTAGCCTGGCATGGTGGTGCATACCTGTAATCCCAGCTACTCGGGAGGCTGAGGCAGGAGTATTGCTTGAACCTGGGAGATGGAGGTTGCAGTGAGCTGAGATAGCACTACTGCACTCCAGCCTGAGTGACAGAGTGAAACTCTGTGTCAAAAAAAAAAAAAAGAGAACTGAGGCACATAAGTCAAGTAATGCATTTGTATATACCTGGATTTTTGACCTGCAGGTTAGGGATTAGGAAATGGTAACCACCGTAATCCATGTAAGCAAACACTATACTGAATTCTATGGGAAAATTTGGCTTTCCCAATGACAGGGGAAAGAAAGTTCTATTCCCCTTGGGAATTTTGGACAGTGTGTTAATGTGCCCTGGATGTAGAAGGAGATTAATATCTTTCAGAAAGAGAGAAAGCATGGCAAACATTACTAGAATACCTAGTATTCTAGCATTACTAGACAACCCTGCATGTGCCTTGTCTCTAACCCAGCATTCAAAGATTTCACTGAAAAGTGAAGATTTCCCACCCTGTGAACAAGAGTTGTCTGATGGCATCCATTAGAGTCAAACAGGCACCCCCAAAACCACAGCCCTGGGCTCATATAGGCACTGGAATGCATTATCCTGAACAAGAAACTGGCCCCACCAAAAGCAGTTGTATATCATTGTTTTCTGAGTCAGTCTGCGGGAGTTGAAACTACAGACTAGTGAAATAAATTAATTCCCTAATGTTAGCATACATACAAAGAAACTCTGATATAATTAACACAATGAATGTAACAGGTATTAGTTACAGAATACTAGCTACCATAATGAACAAACCTGAACTTTTAGTGGCAAAACACAATAGAAGTTTCTTTCTTGTGAAGCTCATGGTAGGAGTTCCTGATGAGTGGTTATAGCAGTGGTGGTGGTAGGTCTCTGCTCCATGTAGACATTCAGGCACCCAAGCTGATGGGGGTTCTGCCACCTTCCATGTGTGATTTCCAAGGTTATCCTGAGTCTCAATATCCAGCAGGCAGATTGGAAAAGAGGGAACATGGAGTATCTGTCTTAGTCTGCTCAGGCTGCCGTAACAAAATACCGTAGACGACTGGGTGACTTAAACAACAGGAATTTATTTTCTCCCAGTTCTGGAGGCTGGAAGTCTGAGATCAAGGCATCAGCAGGGTCAGGCTCTGGGGAGGGCTCTCTCCTTGGGTTGCAGATGGCTGCCTTCTTGCTGTGTCCTCACTTGGCCTTTCCTTGGTGTGTGCATGTGGAATGAGAAACACTTCTCTTCCTCTTCTTGTAAGGCCACCTATCCTATTGGCTCCCGGCGCTATTCTTTTGACCTCATTTAACTTTACCTCCTAAAAGCCCTATCTCCAAACATGGTCACACCGGGATTAGGCCTTCAACATGTGAATTCTGGGGTGCATTCAGTTTATAGCAGGCCACCTGGGAAGGTTTTATGAGTCAGGCTTGGAAGCAGTATAAACGCTTTGGCCCATATTCCACTGACGGTACCTCAGTCCCATTGCACCCAACTGCAAGGGGGCTGAGAAGTGCAGTCCAGCTGTGCCCTGGGAGAGTGAGGTGAGTTTGGGGAACAGCTTTGTCAGCTTTGTCATTCCACAGTGCCTGCGAGTCTCTGGTTTCACCGAGAGGGAGAGGGCATTTACGTTAAATTTCAGCCTTGGCAATTGTGGTATCTCATAATAGGCATAAGGTAGATAAAGGTGGATGTCTTAGTTATCTACTGATGCATGACAAATCACCCCCCAAATTAAATGGTTTAATCAATAACCAGTTATCCTCTAACACAGTCTGTAAGTGTAGCTTTGCTGGGTAGTTCGGGCTCAGGGTCTCTTAGGACACTGTCATGAAGCTGGGGCTGAAGTCGTCTGAAGGCTTGACCTTGACCTTGACCTGGTTGGAAGATCTGCTTCTAAAATGGCTGAATCCCATGCCTGGCCAGTTGGTATTGGCTGCTGGGTGGGGGTTTCAGCTTCTCACCACAAGGACTCTCCATAGTGCTGCTTGAGTGGCAGCTGGGTTCCCCCAGAGCAAGTGACCCAAGAAAGTGAGCAGGGTACACATGCTTTCTTATGACAAGTGACACCTCTTCATTGCTTCATGTTCGATTTGTATGAAGTGAGTTGTGAAGCACTGCCACGCTTAAGGGGAAAGGAATTAGACTGCCTTTTGAAGGGAAGAATATCAAAGAATTTGTGGACATATTTAAAAATCATTGTGATGGGTGTGTCTAAACTTAACCCATAAAACTTGACCCCCAAGCCACCTTATAAATATTACTTGGTGATCTTAATTTTGTTGGTAGGTTTGTAATGCAATATAACCTAGTCACATACCAGCTGTGGGAATTTGGGCTAATTCCTGAGCAGTTTTGTCATCTGTTGATTAGGGAAGACTTGTGGCAGCCCCACTCCCAACCCCAGGGGACACCTCGTGTCTCTAGTGTGCACAAAGGTCTGGATAGTAGCAGAATCTACCTCATAGCAGCTGGGTGAAGACTAAAGGCAGTAAGAGAAGCTGGCACGTAGCATAGCATGGACTTCCCCACTGTGAGCTGTTTTTGTTACTAATGGCTGCGCCTGTGCCTGGGATCTCGCTATCTCTGAGCTCTGTTCGTTTTGCAAAGACCCATGGCTGCTCCGCTTTCCTCCTTTTCTCCAACTTCAGGCCTTAAGAATGAAAAAGCGGTGGAGTAAGAGTTCGATTAACTGGACTTATACGCCCCTTGGAGATTGATGGTTCTGCCACTCAAACAAAATGGTTCTGTGGAAATTAGCGAGGATGTGCGAAGTTTTGACATGGCCACAGTGTGGCTCTGCCTGAATTTTCCATCTGCACTTTGTTTTCGTCCTTCTTTTGTGCTGGGGTTGCTGGTTTGGAGTTTTCTGGGCAGCATACCCTCCATGGAGGTTCAGTGTCTGAAGGAAGGAAGGCCAAGCAGCTTGGATGTCACCTGCTGAGCCTGAAGAAGAACTTGAGTGAAAATAATCCCACTCTCCTTTGTTCTTCTCTGTTTGCTTTTTGTTTGCCTGACAGATGTTCAGCCTGGTCCATAGGCACCGACTGGCTTCTCAAAGCCTCCTGAGTGAGTCTCGGCTTATTGATTTCTGCACATCCGTGTTTTTGTCATTGTTACTTATGATGCCTGAGATCCCCAGCACCTCCGGCCTTCCCTTGGAACCCCTCACTCTCTCCTGGTACACCCCAAACATGGGGCCAACACCAGGAAGCTTGGAAAGCATAACTGCAGATAGTTTGGGACAGCCCTTATTTGGAGGATCTTTCCTCATGACTTTACCAGATGCTATAATACTAGTGCTCCTATTTCTGATGTAGAAGATATTATCATTCTTCTAGAGGACTCTTCTTTCTCTGTGGTTCTTATTATTCTTTCTGGTGTGCTCAGATGTTCACATTAATAAAAATTAGGAGTAAAGTCTGAAGCTAGAGTGGAACAGAAAACCTGGAATTAGAGTCTAGGTTCTTGCTTTGTTCAGTCTATTTAGCAAAACCTCCCAATCTGTGTCTCTTGCTTTGTTCAGTCTATTTAGCAAAACCCCCCAGTCATGTTGTAACTTCTAAGAATTTGCAACTTAACCAAACAGAATTAGGAACTCAGAGTACTGTATTATCTTAGGTTGAGATTAAAATTATATTGATATCATGTCAATAATGATATCCATCCTGTGAGCTAGGGCAGAGACCCAGAAATATGACCCAGAAAATACAAGTTTATTCTAGAAAGCTTAGAAAATACAAATAAGTAAAAAGAAAAACAAAGCAATATACTAACCAAGACAACCACTGTTAACCTTTTCTTCAACATTCTTTTTGACCTTTCCTACACACTCCGCATCACTCTCTCTCACGCATCCACCACGACCATGCTCAAGCCACTGTGATCTCTTGCAGGATTTATCTGGAAACTCTCTTTCCATTTGTGTATAAATGAATCTCACTGGCTGCCACAGCTATTTCTTGGAGGAATAAAAGCAAACGCTTGGACACTGAGGAGTGGATTGGTAGGTGAAAATAGTGGGTTTTGATGATACTTCTAAAATTTTGATTGTATATTTAAAATATGTTTAGAAAATCAAGTTGGAATCATGCTCTGCATATCAGCCCAGACTCCTTTAATCCCAAATGACAGGAAACTCAATTCGTCTGGACCCAAGCAGTAATAGAATGCATAGACTTACCAAACTGAAACTCCAGAGCAGGGTTACCTTCTGGGAGACAAGAATAAGTGGCTTGAATGAGTTGGTTTCTCTTTCTCTTCACTCTGCTCTCTGAGCTGTTGGGTCCACTGTCCCCAACCATCAAACATGGCAGCAAAGTACCTGTCATCATTCTGTACCACTCGGGGCAAGAGAGGATCCTGAGTGGCTCCTTAAGAAGAAACATATTTTCTTTTTTACAGAAGCCTCAGGAAACTCTTGCAATCTTATTTTTCATAATTGGGTGCCATAGCCACAGATGTGGCCAGTTGGGTGGGATGTGCTGACTGGCTTATGCAAGGGGACACTCCTGAGAAGCCAAACCACCAGCCATGTGGTGAAGATGGAAAGAGGTGGTTCTTAGAAACAAGTTTTGGTGCTGTTCCTAGAAAAAAGGAATGAACTTTGGACAGCAAACTTTTCTTTTGAGCTTTTTTTCTTTACTTAATAATGCTGGCTGGGTGCAGTGGCTCGCGCCTGTAATCCCAGCACTTCGGGAAGCCAAGGTGGGTGGATCACCTAAGGTCAGGAGTTCGAGATCAGCCTGGCCAACATGGTGAAACCCCGTCTCTACTAAAAATACAAAAGTTAGCTGGGCTTAGTGGCATGTCTATAGTCCCAGCTACTCGGGAGGCTGAGGCAGGAGAATGGCTTGAACATGGGAGGTGGAGGTTGCAGTGAGCCGAGATCACGCCACTGAACTCCAGCCTAGTGACACAGCGAGACTCTGTCTCAAATAAATAAATAAATAATGCGACATCAGCCAGGCACAGTCACTCACACCTGTAATCCTAACATTTTGGGAGGCAAAGATGGGCAGATCACTTAAGCCCATGAGTTCCAGACCAGCCAGGGAAAAATGGTGAAACATTGTCTCTACCCAAAATGCAAATATTAGCCAGGCGTGGTGGCATGTGTCTGTAGTCTCAGCTACTAGAGAGGCTGAGGCATGAGAATTGCTTGAGCCCAGGAGGCAGAGGTTGCAGCGAGCCAAGATGGCACTATTGCATTCCAGCCTGAGCTACAGAGCAAGACCTTGTCTCAAAAAAAAAGAAGGAAAGAAAGAAAGAATAAAGAAAATGTTACATCATGAACAACTTTGTGTGCACAAGCACATTGTTAGAGTTTTGTTGATTTATTTGTTTATTTTTATTCATTTGTTTTTGAGACAGGGTCTCACTCCGTTGCCCAGGCTGGAGTGCCGTGGCTCAATCACGGCTCATTGCAGGCTTGACCTCCCAGGCTCAAGTGATTTTTCCCACCTCAGCCTTCTGAGTAACCGGAGTAGCTGGGACTATAGGTGCATGCCACTATGCCCGGCAAATTTTTTTATTTTTTGTAAATCAGGGCTTCACCATGTTGCCCAGGCTGATCTTAAACTCTTGGGTTCAAGGGATCCACCTGTTTCAGCCTTCCAAAGACTGGGATTAAAGGCACGAGCCACCCAGAGTTTTATTTTTAATGGATGCATGGCTCAAAATATTTCCAAAGGTTATATAATCTATCCTGTGTGTGTGTGTGTGTGTATATATATATATATATATATATATTTTTTTTTTTTTGAGACAGAGTTTCACTATTGTTGCCCAGGCTGGAGTGCAATGGCACGATCTTGGCTCACTGCAACTTCTCCCTCCCAGGTTCAAGCGAATCTCCTGTCTCAGCCTCCTGAGTAGCTGGGATTACAGGCGCCCACCACTACGCCCAGCTAATTTTTGGTGTTTTAGTAGAGACGGGGTTTCACCATGTTGGCCAGGCTGATCTCGAACTCCTGACCTCAGGTGATCCAACCACCTCGGCCTCCCAAAATGCTGGGATTACAGGCGTGAGCCATCGTGCCCGGCTCCTATCATATACTGTTATTTAAATTGTTCACACTTTATTGATATAGTATTAATATTATACAAAGCCTCTTCAAGCATATCTTTTTGTTCACTTGTTTGATAATTTCATTAATTAATTTGAAAATTTTTCTTCAGTACCTACCATGTGTTGGTCACTCTGCTACGTACTGGGAATTATTTCGTGAGTGAAACAGATAAAACATGCTCCTTCATGGAGCCCATATTTTATGGCAGTAAACAAATGCATAGTATGTGAGTGGGTGGTGAGTGCTGAGAGTGAGTGCAGGGAAGAGATATTGTAAATCTTTTCTTCCTCTTCCTCCCAAATTATTTTGCACATAACTCTGTCATGCACCTGTCCCACGTTGAGAACATTGACCTCCCCTGTGAAAAGCACCTTGAAGGCAGACAGGGATGATAGAGCTTCTACACTCACATTCTCTATGTGAATGTAACTGCCAGGTGGTAGCTGATGTTCAGTAAGTACTCAGCAATGCAATTCCACTGCAATCAGTACTGGGCTAAGAAGGCATGAACTGTTTGTCACGGGGGTTGCACGAGCATTCCCTTTTCACTGTATCTATAGACTGGAGGACCATGCTAACTGACTTTTAGCTCCCTGATTGAGGTTGTGATGTCAGACATTTGTTAAGTAGGCTTATGTTACTCAGGCTCTAAGATTCACAGTGTGAGATGGGATTTGTGTCAGTCAGGGTCCAGACAGGAAAGTAAAAACTGCACTGGTAATTCAAACAGAGGGAATTTAACCAGATGAATTGGTTACATAGGTGTTGGAAGTCTGGAAGGGTAAAATGCGAGGTGAAACAACCCCGATATTAGGAACTAAAGAAGCTGCCCGTCCGTGGCTGGGGATGATGGTGCAAAAAAAGAGAGGGAAGGTTACCAGAACCTAAGGCAAGCAGTGCTCAGAGCAGGGTTCCTTGGCACTGGTGCTCAGCATGAAGTGGGTGGGACTCAACTGGGGCTGGAGCCAATTGACAGAAACAGGAGAATATGAGGAAGTCGCTCCTCTCTTCTCATCTTTCAAACTCCTAGGAGCTCCCATTGGCAGAACCTAATAAGAAGCCTGCTATGAAGGGAAATGCAAGTAATAAAAGCCAGCTATCTTGCAAGTGCAGTTTGCAGAGTGCTGTGGTTTGAGTGTTTGTCCCCTCCAAAAAACTTGTGCTAAAATTGAGCTGCCAGTGTGACAGTATTAAGAGGTGGAAACTTTGAGGGTGATTAGGCCATGCGGACTCCGACCTCATGGGCGGAATTAATGTTGTCATGAAAGGGTAAGTTTGACCCCTCTTGTCTGTGCCCTGCCTCCCTTCTCAGCCCATCTGCCTTCTATCATTAAAGGACACGGCAACGCGACCCTCGCCAAATGCTGTTGCCTGGATCTTGGACTCCCTGGCCTCCGTAATGGTAAGAAAATGAATTTCTGTTCATTGTAAATTATCCAGTCTCAGATATTCTGTTACAGCAACACAAACTAGACTGAGAAATGTAGTTTTAGCCCCAGCATTACAGAACAGAATATAGACAATGAGTCGAGAGACTAAGGTAAACAGTAGGCACAGTCCTCCTACTCGCTTCCATTGATTTCCTTTACCCGTGTTTGAACTGCCACACAAAACAACTCATGCTTATTCCCAATAAGACGCAGCCATAATTTGTACCAATGACATTGCTCAGCCAGAAAGGCGAGATGACAGTTCCATTAGTTGCTGCACCCATCTCAGTGTGACGTAAAGTCCCACTTGAGTCCAAGCAAAATCCCACCCAAATGTTCTAAATCTAAAAGCTAAGTTGTAAAGTTAACCACCATCAGTGATTATTACGTAAAACAATGGAAGAAAAGAGCAGAGGAAAATAATATATATAAACACATACATAACCAAAAGGAAGAAAATTCAAAGCTGCTATGGCCTTATTTATCCTGTAACTTATCTCTGGGCCACAGCTGACCTCAATAACATTCTTTTTAAAGAGAAATTTAGTAATTTACAGAATATACGCATCAGAGAGTATTGTATATCTATGAAAACACTGACATTAAGGGATGTCCATCAGGTATTATTGAATGAGAAAGGCAATTTTCAGAAAAGTGATACAATTATTACATGCTTGTTAAACAGTGACCCAAAAGGTCAAATATGTCTCTGTATCTATATTTGTATATGATTATATGTGTATTAAAAATATTGAAAAGTGGCCAGGCATGGTGGCTCATGCCTGTAATCCCAGCATTTTGGGAGGGCGAGGCAGATGGATCACTTGAGGTCAGGAGTTTGAGACTAGCCTGGCCAACATGGTGAAACCCTGCCTCTACTAAAAGTGGAAAAACTAGCTGGGCATGGTGGCACATGCCTGTAATCCCACCTACTCTGGAGGCTGAGGCAGGAGAATCTCTTGATTCTTCCCGAGAGGTGGAAGTTGCAGTGAGCCAAGATTGCACCACTGCACTCCAGCCTGGGTGACAGAGCGAGACCATGCCAAAAAGAAAAAAAAAGAAAAGAAAAAAATATATATAAAGGTATACAGAAATTTTGTAGAGCAGGTCTGCTGGTGATAAGTTCCTTCAACCTCCATATGTTTAAAAATGTCTTTACTTTGTTTTTTGAAAGATATTTTTGCTAGGCATGGAATTCTAGGTTGACAGCGTTGTTCTGTTGGTACTTGAAAAATGTGGATCCACTGCCTTCTGTCTTGCATTATTTCTGACGAGGAGTTGGCTGCCATTCTAATCTGTTCCTTTGCACATTATGTGTGTTTCTTGACTGTTTTTTGTGTTTTCTTTTTAATCATTGGTTTTAAGTAATTTATAATGTACCATGGTTTATTTTTTTTGTTTCTTGTGCTTGAGTTGTGTTGAGTTTTTTGAATCTATGGCCTATAGTTTTCATCAGATCTGAGACTTTTTCTACAGCCCACTGATGCATTATTCTTTACTTTAAATTAATAGACTATTTTTTTTTTAGACTGAGTCTTGCTCTGTCACCCAGGCTGGAGTGCCGTGGTGCAATCTTGGCTCACTGCAACCTCTGCCTCCCAGGTTCAAGTGATTCTCCTGTCTCAGCCTCCTGAGTAGCTGGGGCTACAGGTGTGCCCCAACATGCCTGGCTAATTTTTTGTATTTTTAGTAGAGACAGGGTTTCACTATGTTGGCCAGGCTAGTCTCGAACTCCTCACCTCAGGTGATCTGCCCGCCTTGGCTTCCCAAAGTGCTGGGATTACAGGTGTCAGCCACCATGCCTGTCTAATAGATTATGTTTAATGAACAATTTTAGACTTATAGAAAAATTGAACTATATGCAGAAAGTTCTCACATTACACCACTCCCCTCTCAGCACACACATTTTCTCTTATTGTTCACATTTTGCATTAGTGTGGTACATTTGTTCCAATTAGTAAACCATACTGATACATTATTGTTATTAACTAAAGTCCATGCTTTACAGTAGGGTTCACTCTTGGTGTTGCAAATTTCTATGGGTTTTGAGGAATATCATTTATCTATCATGACAGTACCATATGGAAGAGCTTCAGTGCCTTAAAACCCACCTGTGCTCTGCCCATTTTTTCCCTCCTTCTCCCAATCTTCCCTATGGAAGAGCTTCACTGTCCTAAACCCCCCTGTGCTCTGCCCATTTTTTCCTCCTTCTCTCAACCTCTAGAAACCACTGCTCTTTTCATTGTCTCCATAGTTTTGTCTTTTCCAGATTGTCATGTCATTGGAATCATATAGGATGTTGTCTTTTCAGACTGGTTTCTTTTACCTCATGACATGAATTTAAAGTTCTGCCACGTATTCACGGCTTCATAGCTCATTTCTTCTTATGGCTGAATAATATTTCATTGGATATACCACAGTTTGTTAACCCACTAGCCTACTGAAGGGCAGTTTTTGGTAATTATGAATAAAGCTGCTAAACATTTGTATGCAGTTTTTTTTGTGGACATATTTTTCAACTCATTTGAGTAAATACCTAGGTGCATGATTGCCAGATTGTATGTGAAGACAACACTTTGTTTTGTAAGAAACAGACTATCTTTCCAAGTGGCTGCACCGTTTTGCATTCCCACCAGCAATGAATGAGAGCTCCTCTTTCTACACATCCTCACCAGTGTTTGACGTCACTTTAAAGATTGTGGCCATTCTAATAGGTATGAACTGGTATTTCATTGGTTTAATCTGCACGTCCCTGATAACGTATGTTATTGACCGTCTTTTATTTGTTTTGGGCTTTTGTTTGTTTGTTTTTTGGAGAGAGGGTCTCAGTCACCCAGGCGTCAATGCAGTGGTGTAATCATGGCTCACTAAAGCCTCAAACTCTGGGCACATCTTTTATATACTTACTTGCCATCTGTGTATCTTCTTTAGTGAAGGGTCTGTTCAGATATTTTCCCCATTTTTAACAAGGTTACTTTTTAATTGTTGAGTTTGAGGAGTTCTTTGTGTACATTATATACAAGCCCTTTGCCATAATGTGTTTTGCAAATATTTTCTCCCGGTCCATTGCCTGTCTTTTCATTCTCTTGAGAATGTCTTTCACAAAACAGAAGCTTCTAATTTTAGTAAAGTCCAACTTACCAACATTTCATTTCACGCATCATTATTATGGTGTATTTACAAACTCATTGCCAAGCCTAAGGTCTCAGTATTTTCCCCTACATTATCTTCTGGAAGTTTTTTTTTTTTTTTTTAGACAGAGTCTCGCTCTGTCGACCAGGCTGGAGTGCAGTTGCGCGACCTTGGCTCACTGCAACTTCCGCCTTCCGGTTTCAAGCGATTCTCCTGCCTCAGCCTTCCTAGTAGCTGGGAGTACAGGCGCCCGCCACCACTCCCAGCTAATTTGTTTTTTTTTATTTTTGTATTTTAATAGAGATGAGGTTTCACCGTATTGCCCAGGCTGGTCTCGAACTCCTGAGTTTAGGCAATGCCCCCGCCTTGGCCTCCCAAAGTGCTAGGATTACAGGTATGAGCCACCGCATCCAGCCTTTGTTTTATGTTTAGGTCTATAATCTATTTTGAGTTAATTTTGAGAAAGGTATAAGGTCTGTACCTAGATTCATTTTTTTTTTGCATAATAATTTCCTTTTCCTACTTTTCTTCCCCCCTGGATTCCATTCGCCCTTATCTGTTACCTCAGCTTGATGGAGTTTTTTCACATTGTGAGGTAATCCAAGCCTTCATTTCTGAAGGGTCTGAATCCTTTGTGATTGTACCTTTGGTACATTGCTTAATTTTCCATTCATCTTTACTTGGATCTGGAAATATCCCTGAATTCCAGACATAGTCTCTCTTCTCTCCTTCCATAGCAGCAAAGCAATTTCCCCCGGGTAACTGGGATCAATTATCCCAGGGCACACAGTAACCCCTTTCTTTGTCTGTTGATTCAGTAGCATGAGGAGCGTGAAATGACCAGGTGGCAGTTTCAACTTCAATTCATCAGAACAATTCTGTCTTCTTTTGAGAACCAAAACCTCTAAATCAGCCTAAAGTTAAGGGGACACACAGCAAAGGTCCTCACATGGGTTATCAGACACTGCAGCAAGAGAGACCACTTTCACGTCTCTCCTTTGATTCTTGGGCTCTGGCTATAGGAGGAACCTTTGCTGGATCGAAGTTCATACGATATCCTGTTAGGGGAGCATTCAGATATTTGGGGTGTAACTAAGTTAAGCCATTCCATTATTCAACAGCCAGATGCTTGTAGCTGCTGGGGTGGGAGGAGATCCATGCTTGGTACACAACAGGGAAACTGAGTCTGTGTGGCTCCCTGCCACTGTGTTCCTGCCGTTTTAGAAGTGGGTGAACCAAGTCCTGGCTAGCCGCCAAGGTACTCAGAGGCCCTGGGCTCTGAACCTTTTCCAAGTTGTTCTGGAGGTCTTCCAGAATAAGTGGCTCTCTTTTCAGTTTCAGAGCATGAATGGTTTTGAAGCAGAAGTCAGTGAAGGCGATTGCTTAGAGCCAGAAGGGCCTGGTGGGGTTGTCTCAGGTTAGGAGCCCATTCTGTGAGCCCAATGTCCCTATGCAGAGACTCTGCCAGAAAGAGCAGGGGCCTGGCTGACCGTCCTGTTCTGGGATCCCCTTCAGCTGGAATGCAGTTTCTGTCACTGCTGCCCTCTAGGAGGCTTTGGGGAAACCGTCAGTATCTAACATTTCAGTTGTTTCTCCCTGTCCTCCTCTCTCTCTGACTCAAGGCTAGGGCCTGCCCTCTTCCCTCCAGTTCTTTCTGCTGCGTTGCCTTGAGACTTTTTCACTAGGAAACAAGCTGTTGATCCAGCTGCAAATACTCTCATTGGTTTTATTGTTGGATTTCTTCTTTTTCACAGGGAGGTAGTGGGGGACAGGACTGTTTTCCATGGCTCCAGGGTATATGGTGACTATGTTCACCTGGGACACACACAGTCCCAGGTATTAGCTTACCCATCCGAGCCCAGGGCCTTCACAGGAGGAGGCCTGTGATACGTAAGCTCTTTTCCTCAACCTTAAAAGGATATGGTGAAAAATATGACCCTCTGGTTCTCAAATCCAGTCCAAGGTTTAGTTTCCCCAGTTTCTTCTCTAATCTTCCAAATTCCCAAAAAGAGACTGGTCTAATTTTAGAGGCTGCTTGCGTCCCCACTGAGGAAAGTAGGAAAGGGCTGTTGAAGGAAGATTCCAGATCTGCGTTGGAAGTGACTCTAGACAGTTTTGCACCAACATTATCAAGGTCCCCAATGTCGGCCCAGGTCAGACGGCCACCAGAGGCAGGGCCTGCAGGAAGCCAACAAGGACCTGCACAGCCCCTGAGCTGTCAGGACAAGACAAGGCCGAATTCTGTCCTCAGGTTTGCCATGGCATGCCATAAAATCCCACCCAAGTGAAGAGGCAGGCCCAGAAGAGCAGTGTGGAGGCAGAGTGGATTAACTGGAAGATATCGCACATAGAAAGCATGAAGAAACCAACACCTCCCCAAACCTACCATGTTCCATGGCCTAAGGATGGGCGAATAATTGGGAGAGTGCTCAAATCTATTCTTTGGTTTGTGAGTACATAAAATTACTCAGGATAATTTAGAGAGATTTTTACTGTAAGACTATGAATAGTTCAGTGATCCAAAAGGCATAAAATTAGACAAAGGAGGAAAGCCTCATGGGTGGAGAGCAACCAGCCACAGAGAGCCTGCAGCAATGACAGGCAGGTCAGGATGCTCCTGGGAGGCCTGAACCACCTGGACTTGGTTTTTATGTCTCAAGCTGAGGAGACACCTGAGGGGTCTAAGACTGTGTCAGTTTAGACCTCGATAGGTCCATGATTAGTGGATGGCCCTGGCAGCACCAGCTAAGTGATGATGGGAAGGCTCTGAGAACCGCTGGGGAAGTCTGTACAGCTCCAGTCATCCCAATACTGTGAAGGGCCTCACCCCTGTTCATCTCGACACTGTGAAGGGCCTCACCCCTGTTCATCCCGACGCTGTGAAGGGCCTCACCCCTGTTCCTCCCGACGCTGTGAAGGGCCTCACCCCTGTTCCTCCCGACGCTGTGAAGGGCCTCACCCCTGTTCCTCCCGACGCTGTGAAGGGCCTCACCCCTGTTCCTCCCGACGCTGTGAAGGGCCTCACCCCTGTTCCTCCCGACGCTGTGAAGGGCCTCACCCCTGTTCCTCCCGACGCTGTGAAGGGCCTCACCCCTGTTCATCCCGACGCTGTGAAGGGCCTCACCCCTGTTCCTCCTGGTGGGGTAAGGGTCTCATTTCTGTTCGTCCTGATGGAGAAACAGTCTTATCTGTGATGATCTGGGTGGTAGGAACACCCTGACAAGTTTTGCTCATTTCGTGAGTGTGGCTAGGCCCTTGCTGCTCTTTTCATCCTTGATTGTGGAATGGTCCTCTGACCCCTGTTCATGCAACTGATGTTTAGATGACTGTGTATCATTAGTTTTCTGAGAATTCTGTTGAAAACATGCACCTTCCTGGGAGTGCCCAATTCTGCCTCAACTGCCAACAGAACACTACATGTGGGACCAGGAGATGAAGCCTGAAGAGGGTCCACTGGGGCTCCCCTTGGGTCCTGGACTCTCCCCTCCTTTTGGTGTCCGGAAGAGCTGCCCAAGCCATTTGTTTGCCTCTTTGCCAGGTGTTGTGTGGGGTGCTGGATCGTCAGGGCAGAGGAAGAGCGAGATGAGGGGAAACACTCAGAGTTCCACACAGCTGCTGTAACCAGATACCTCAGCCACAATTTTGTGATTGATAAAGGATGAAAGAAGATGAAAGAAGAACCTGGAAGAAAAGGAATTACCAACAGTCAGCTTTCAGAAATCAGTAGAAAGTTTTCAGAAACAATGTTTGATGCTTACTCTGGTAGGTAGAACACAGGTCAGCATATCCTGTGCATTTTCTCATTTTATTCTCAAAATTACGCTTGGAGGTTTTGCCAGCTTTTGCGACGATAATGCCCAAATCACCCCAGTGCTTGGTGATATACATGCATCATTTCTCACTCAGGGTCTTATGGCAGAATCCTGGGCTATTCCATGTGTCTCATCTGGAGCCTGGAGCCCGGGCAGGTTCTTCTCATGGGGTGGGAGTGGGGCAGCTCGGAGCAGAAATGCTGCTGTCCTTCAGCTGGGTGCAGACACGGTTCACTTTCCCTCCTGCCCAGGCCCCACTGGCCCAAGCAATCCTGTGTCCACCCAACACCCCTGAGGAGTGGACACGTGACCCTCCTATGGAGGGGAGATTCGGAGTGAGTGTTCACTGAACAATAACTCATTCTACCACCTATCATTTTATAGGTAAGAAAAAAGAGGCCCTGAGAGAATGATTTGTTAATCAATAGCACCTGATGACAGAGACCATATTCATAGTCTTGGTGTAAGACTCGCCACTGGAAAGACACAGTCAGGGCCCAGTTCAAGGCATATACAGGAATCTTTTGTTTTTAAGAGATGGGGTCTTGTCATCTAACCCAGGCTATAGACATTTTTTAAAATTGATCAGGGTTTATTTGCAGATATGTACATCTACTACAGCTAGTTTAAGCAGCCAGGAATGTCATACGGGGATTAGGAGAATCCAGAATCATCGAAATGGATGAAGGAGCAGGATCTAGGCTGAACTTCCTGAAATGACCCAGTAGCACCTCCACAGACCCGGCCTGGTAAGAGAGCTGATGCTTTTGCTGCAGTCAGAATTCACATAATGGAGTCAGCTATATTGAATTGTTTCCATGAGGTCAGTTAGACACAGAATTCGTTTCCAAAGTTTCTAATTTTTCAAGAGAAATTAAAGCCTAAATTTTTGAAACTCTCCTGCCTCACGAAAATAAATAAACAAATAGATTAATTAACCCTAATTCTGAAAACTAACAGTCAGAGAACTTGAAGAACAACTATGACCTAACCAGTGCTCATTACCTCCTCCATTAGCATTTGTCAGTCCTCCTCATCTGCCTGAATTACTGCCATAACCTTCTGACTGACCTGCTTGCCTCTGCACTAGCCCTGTTAAAACTCATCCTTAATACGGAAGTCAGAAATTTTACACTTTTAAAATGTAAATGCGAGTATTGTATATTAAAAACTGCCCAATGAGTTGATATCTTGATCACAATAAAATCCAAAATTGTAACAATAAAAAAAAAAAAAAACAAGAAAGAAATCCAGGGATCAGGAACCAGCCCCCGTGAGTGCCGGCTCCAAGCCCATGCTGCCTCTTCTACAGTCTATGCCAACAGAACAGAGGCCTGAGCTCTGCGTCACACACCACAAGACCACAGGGACACTCAGCATCGTAAAGCGAAAGAGGAACAGGTAGAATAAAGGGACATTTGCTAAGTCTTGTGGTATTTAATAACTAAAAACAAACTTTTCCCAAGAAAGTTGGCTTCCAATTCTCTTATCAGAATTGGAGGAGGTTCAAATTGAATTGTCAACTGATAGAGCATTACACATAAATCTTGATGAGATACTACCATGTCCATGTGATTTTTTTGTTGTTGTTGTTGCGATAGAGCCTCGTTCTATCATCCAGGCTGGATTCCAGTGGTGCACTCTCAGCTCACTGCAACTTCTGCTTCCTGGGCTTGGGCAGTCTTCCCACCTCAGCCTCCTGAGTAGCTGGGACTACAGGTGCTCACCACCACACCCAGCTAATTTTTGTATTTTTTGTAGAAATGGGGTTTTGCCATGTTGTCCAGGCTATTCTTGAACTCCTGGGCTTAAGCAATCTGCCCACCTTGGCCTCCCAATGTGCTGGGATTACAGGCATGAGCCACCGTGCCCGGCCTACCATGTGATTTTTGACATATAACTCTGGAGGAGTTCAAACAATTGAGTCCTGTTGCTCAATGAAACTCTGTATGTGGACAAAGTTTCCTCCATGCTTATAGCCCTACAAATAAACACTAGGAAAATAATTGATGCTGGACTCTCTATCATTCCAGTAATAGGTATTAGCCACCCACAGAAAAACTCATTGGAAAAAACTCCCAACCTCGTCCATCTCATCAAGACATACATTTTAACATAAATTTACTTGGAATGTTATTTATTTGTCAAATTGTATAGCACACATATGCTCTTTTGTTCAAGTATATATTACTAACAAGTTAGTACTGATGTAATGATCGTGCAATTCAGAATAAATTTCTTATGTTTAGAATAGGGTCAGATTCTTAATTTAGTGTGTTCATGAACTTGAATGAAAAAATTACATTTTTTCCCACTAACCTCTAAGTGAAAGTTAGCATTTCCTTCCATTATACATGCAAGCAATAAATGGTAGCGGTCTTAAAGTGTCTGTGACTTTGTCACCAAGAGAAATCAGAGATAGTTTCTATCACATTATAATTGTTGCAGATAACTTGAAACATCGTTTCTGCTTAGCATTGCTTCAAAGTTGCAATAGTTACTGGACTTACATATTGTTACTAGGATTAACAAACTAGACCTTGTTAATGTGTGTGTGTGGGAAAAACTCTCCTCAAACCGTGTTTCTCCTCTGCTCTCACACCACAGCAGTCATCAGCACAGAAGCCTTCTGTGGCCAAATGTGTGGGGTTTTCCCCACACACCTAGCAGCTGATGCCAGCTGAGTGTGCTCTGGTGTTCTGACACCATCTTCCCAGAGTTAGCATCAGATATCACAGGTTGAGGGCTCAGTCCCCAAGACTGCCGGCCCCCTGCACCAGTCACAGGCCCAGGCTTCTGGAACTTCCAACAGGCTGCCTTCAAGTTGGGCTTCCCATGGCTCCCTCTTTGGGTTCGATTAATTTGCTGGAGGAGCTCATAGAACTCAGAGAAACACGTTAACTGATTTATTGTAAAGGATATTGCTATTGCAAAGGATACAGATGAAGAGACAGGTAGGTCAAGATATAGGGGAAAGGACACAGAGCTTCTAAGGTAGGTCAAGGTACAGGGAAGGGACACAGAGCTTCTAAGGTAGGTCAAGGTGTAGGGAAGGGACACAGAGCTTCTAAGGTAGGTCAAGGTGTAGGGAAGGGACACAGAGCTTCTAAGGTAGGTCAAGGTGTAGGGAAGGGACACAGAGCTTCTAAGGTAGGTCAAGGTGTAGGGAAGGGACACAGAGCTTCTAAGGTAGGTCAAGGTGTAGGGAAGGGACACAGAGCTTCTATGCCCTTCCTGGGTGTCACCCTCCAGGAACCTCCAAATGTTCAGCTCTCTGGAAGCTCCCGGATCCCAGTCCTCTAGGGTTTTTATGGAAGCTTCAAGACATCAGCATGACTTCCCACAGGCTATAGGGGGTCTTGCTTCATGGGAGGGTCTTAGACCCACAACCAGAAAGGCAGGGAAGATTAGAATCCTCCCTTGGGACAGAACTCTAATCTGAAAGGGGGCAAGAGGTCAGAGGCTGCCCCTGAGACCTAACACAGCCAAGGTTATAACAAAAGACTGTAACAAGAGGCGTGGGAGTTATGAGCCAGGAGCCTTGTACGAAAACCGGTATCTATCATACCAGCACGATGTGTTAAAGAGGCACATGTGTGACTGTACCATGATTAAGCTCATTTGATGGGTGTATTTTGGTACACTTGTTTTCCTTTTTGATCTTGTGTATTTTACTTTCTGCATTTAAGGACATTATTCTGAGAAGAGGTCTATGGGTTTCACCAGATCACCAAAGGGATCCATGGCAAAAATTTAAAAAACACAAAATTAGTGGCTTACGGTCACAATATATTTTTTTAAATGAATTTTTTATTGAGGTGAAATTAAAGAAACATAACATTAACCATTTCAAAGGATAAAATTCAGACACATGTAACACATTTATAGTGTAGAATTCGGCCACACTCAGCACATTTACAGTGTAGAATTCGGCCGCACTCAGCACATTTACAGTGTAGAATTCGGCCGCACTCAGCACATTTACAGTGTAGAATTCAGCCACATGCTACGCTAGGAACCCACCTAGGAGGGGGTTCCTAGGTTCCCAGTTATAAGAATTCTCTTAGGGAGTGAAGCAGAGTTTTATTTCAAAATGGGGGTGCTTCCTAGTTTTAAGAATTCTCTTAGGGGCACAAGCAGAGGAGTTTTATTTCTGTGTGTGTGTGGTGGGCTCCAGGTTTTCAGAATTCTCTTGCAGGGTGCATGCAGGGTTTTGTTTCAGGCAGCTGTGTAGAGATCCAGGAGGGTCACTGCCTTGCAGCACCTTTTTGTTCACTCACCAGCTAAACTTTGTTTCCCAAGCAACTGCTGTACGTCAGGCATTCTGCCAGGTGCAGAAACAGAGCTGAGCTCGTGGCCGGGTCCTGTGGTTGCTCCTGGAGGAAAGGGGGCCTGAATATTGGATGGAAAAAGTCTTATGAGGAGCCTGGAAAAGAACCTGTCAAGTTCAACTGTGAGCACCAGAGCCTGGGCAGGCAGAGAGACAAGATGGGGCAGCTGGCAGAGGAGCAGCATCTCTGCCCTTGGCAGTGTGAGCATCTGTCTGTCAGCAGCTGCCTCTGGTGGAAGCCTGCAGGCAGCTTGTACCTCCTGGCAGTGGGAGGAGACACCCAGCACTAAGTGTCAGCCACGGAGGGAACTGTCAGTGAAGGAAGGAGGGATGTGACTTCAGTGACATCTGTTCAACCTTCTCCAAGGCCTGAAAAAGAAGGAGCCATATAGCTTAGAAAGACAGGGCTCTAGGAAAGGATGGGAATTAGGGCATTCAATAGAGTCCCAGAAAAACTGGACATGTGAATTGAGGAGCAGGCACAGCCCTGCAGGAAGTAGGTGAGGCAGGCAGGTGGAGTGAGCAGCTTTGCAGAAGTGGTCGCAGTGCAACCTTCAGGGTCTACATACAGATACATCTCGGCATTTACAGTGTGTGTTTTGTAGGATTTTTAAAATTGATTTTGGCCGGGTGTGGTGGCTCAAGCCTGTAATCCTAGGACTTTGGGAGGCCAAGGTGGGTGGATCACGAGGTTAGGAGTACGAGACCAGCCTGGCCAACATAGAGAAACCTCATCTCTACTAAAAATACAAAACAATTAGCTGGGCGTGGTCGTTGGTACCTGTAATCTCAGCTACTCAGGAGGCTGAGGCAGGAGAATCGCTTGAACCCGGGAGGCGGAGGTTGCAGTGAGCCAAGATCACGCCACTGCACTCCAGCCTGGGTGACAGTGCCAGACTCCATCTCAAAAAACAAAATAAAATAAAATAAAATTGATTTTCCTTCTTAAAATAACTTTGTGGCAAGATAAAGTGCCCTGTATTTCATATATTTCCAGGAATGCTGGGAAACGAGGAGAAACACTATGCTTTTCACAGCATCACAGACGGTACTGGACCCTTCCTATCAATGGGACCATTTCAGGGCTGCCACTTGGCCAGGGCATCGCAGTGGGCTGTTGGATCAGACCGAGAGGCACCAATTCAAACGCCCCCGGCAAGAACCTATGTCAGGTGGATGGGATGGTTATAAACGGCAGAGCTATGCCTGCTATCAAGGATTAGAATGAAAATATCTGAGCAGCCTCAGCAGACAGTAGCTGGTGGCACCTCAGGAGACCGGAAAAGCCCTACCTGCCAGGACCCCTAGACCCAGCCCTTGCCTGTCTTGAAACAGCAAAGGGAGTGATCTTGGGGACACCAGAACAGTCTGCTTGCAGAGATTAGGAACAGGACAGCTTATTCCAGTCAAACAGCGAGACTAAAAGTGAGTCTAAGGCTCCAGCCTCTCCAGATTCCTCCTGGCCCACGCATGAACATGGTCTCCGTGGCCATCGATTCTTCTGAGCCCACCTCCTCCACGTGAGTACACACGCTTGTCTACCTATGGTCTGTGAAAGTGCACAGACTTTGGGTCAAACAGATTTGAGTGTAGAGTCTGGCTTAGAATTCCAGACCCAGCTCTTCTTCACTGTGTGATTTGGGGCAAAATAACCTGGCCTCTGGAAGCCTGAGTTTTTCATCTGTAAAATGAAAGCAGCACTATTTTTCACTACGATGTGCCAGCACACCACCCATCTAGACCCTAAACAAGGTGGACCCCAGCTGGCTCCCTGGTGACCAGCTCCAAAATGCCTTCCTTTGGACTTCACGTTCTGTGAGAGAACGCAAACCCTGACATCTGGTTTCATCCAGTTCCTTAGCTTTTCAGTGACAGGCAGCTGAACTCAATTGTTAATTGACTGATCTCCATTGCATAGGGTTACTGTGAAGCGCATATGAGATCACAGCTGTTAAAGTGCCAAACCACGTGACTTATTTAGGACTCCTGACTTTCCTAATGTTGCATGGAGGATATTTAATCATAAAACAGTTAAATCTGGCATAGTGGGCTACCAAGAAGAAGGCAGGGTTCCGCTTACCATACTGAGAGAGGGATTGAGGCAGAAACTCCCTGGAACTATGGGCAGCAACAAAGGAGGGAGGGCAGGTCACCTGTGCAGAAGAACATGCACACACACAGGCATGCACACATATTTGTACACGGGCACACTCATCTGCACACACACATGCACGCATACGTGCACACCCTCCAGCACACATGTGTTCAGATCATGCTCTCATTTACACGTGCACACGGGCATGCACACTCATGCACATGTACTGTTGACTCTATCTTGAGCTTACACATCAAAGCCACGATCTGGTTCAGTACTTACTTGTTTATTGATATTCCATTTAGCATTTACCAAGTACCTTCTATGTAACTTGGCTAGGCAGTCTTTTTTTCTCAAACAAAATCCAGTACAAATCCTCCCTCATCCATGAAATCTTTCTGGATTCTCCAATGGGATTGAACTAATCCTCATAGAACTTTCCATGTGCCCCTGCTTGTCACGAATTTCATTTACCTTCAGAGTAAAATTGTTGCACATACTTCTGTTTCCTTAAGTGGCTGTGGGAGCTGACATTCTAGGCCCCAGTGAAAAGGTCTGGTCCTGAAACTGCGTCTCAGTTCTTGGCTTGAGAAAAGCACAGCTGGTTAGAAGTGCTTACACCACGGAGGCATGAAGAGGACGTGAGGGTGGCTCATTTTAAAAGCAATGCGTTTATCTTATCTTCCAGTGCAGAGAGAGAGAGAATCCCCTGCTTAGAGCACAGAAGCTGGTGCACCGTCCTGTGCCGCATTGTCCTCTGGCTGCCTGCCTGGGGAGACCCCTCTCCCCTCTCCTTCCTGAACGCAGGCACGAGGATTTGTACATACGTGCACATAAATATGGTATTTCCCAGAGGGCCTGGCATAAACATTCTTAATATGTGCTTGTTATATTGCAGTGAACTAACACCCACAGTCAGTCAGGAAACAAAGTGCATTGCATGTTACCTGGGGAACAGTCAGCAGAACCTTGATTTTACCTGGAGAGTCTGGGGCTGCACTTTTGGCACGTGGGAGTTCCCACAGCTACCAGTCCAGGAATCCCAGGGTGACTGCCATTTTCCAAGGGTTACATCCCCCAAATATGTCACAAAACATGTTTAAACAAATACCTTGGCTTCTGCTTTTTTATCTATACAACAGTTCTCAACATGGCCACAGATTAGAATCAATCCTGATGCCTTTTTAGAGTGTACATTACCAGAGCCCCCAGGCTGACCGAGCCAGAACCATGCCTGAGGCCATAGCACGTCAGTGGTCTCAGAGCACACGGGAGATTCCGTGGCACCCTTAGGCCATAGCACGTCAGTGGTCTCAGAGCACACGGGAGATTCTGTGGGCCCCCGAGGCCATAGCACGTCAGTGGTCTCAGAGCACACGGGAGATTCCGTGGCACCCTGAGGCCATAGCACGTCAGTGGTCTCAGAGCACATGGGAGATTCTGGGCCCCCTGAGGCTGTAGCACGTCAGTGGTCTCAGAGCACACGGGAGATTCCGTGGCACCCTGAGGCCATAGCACGTCAGTGGTCTCAGAGCACATGGGAGATTCCGGGCCCCCTGAGGCCGTAGCACGTCAGTGGTCTCAGAGCACACGGGAGATTCCATGGCCCCCTGAGGCCATAGCACGTCAGTGGTCTCAGAGCACACGGGAGATTCCGTGTCACCGTGAGGCCATGCACGTCAGTGGTCTCAGAGCACACGGGAGATTCTGTGGGCCCCCGAGGCCATAGCACGTCAGTGGTCTCAGAGCACACAGGAGATTCCGTGGCACCCTGAGGCCATAGCACATCAGTGGTCTCAGAGCACATGGGAGATTCCGGGCCCCCTGAGGCCGTAGCACGTCAGTGGTCTCAGAGCACACGGGAGATTCCATGGCCCCCTGAGGCCATAGCACGTCAGTGGTCTCAGAGCACACGGGAGATTCCGTGTCACCGTGAGGCCATGCACGTCAGTGGTCTCAGAGCACACGGGAGATTCTGTGGGCCCCCGAGGCCATAGCACGTCAGTGGTCTCAGAGCACACGGGAGATTCCGTGGCACCCTGAGGCCATAGCACATCAGTGGTCTCAGAGCACATGGGAGATTCCGGGCCCCCTGAGGCCGTAGCACGTCAGTGGTCTCAGAGCACACGGGAGATTCCGTGGCACCCTGAGGCCATAGCACGTCAGTGGTCTCAGAGCACACGGGAGATTCCGTGGGCCCCCTGAGGCCAGAGCACGTCAGTGGTCTCAGAGCACACGGGAGATTCCGTGGCCCCCTGAGGCCAGAGCACGTCAGTGGTCTCAGAGCACACGGGAGATTCCGTGGCCCCCTGAGGCCATAGCACGTCAGCGGTCTCAGAGCACACGGGAGATTCTGTGGCCCCCTGGCTAGAACACTGGACCAGATGGTCTGCAGGTTCTCCTCTGAGTCTGATGGTCTTGTCTATGTTAAAATGTCTCGGCCGGGCACGGTGGCTCACGCCTGTAATCCCAGCACTTTGGGAGGCCGAGGCAGGTGGATCATGAGGTCAGGAGATCGAGAACATCCTGGCTAACAAGGTGAAACCCTGTCTCTACTAAAAATACAAAAAATTAGCCAGGCGCGGTGGCGGGCGCCTGTAGTCCCAGCTACTCGGGAAGCTGAGGCAGGAGAATGGCGTGAACCCGGGAAGCGGAGCTTGCAGTGAGCCGAGATTGCGCCACTGCAGTCCGCAGTCCGGCCTGGGCGACAGAGCGAGACTCCGTCTCAAAAAAAAAAAAAAAAAAGTCTCCAAAGAAGATAAGTTTTAACTCATTTAAATAAATATAAGCTACATAGCACTTTGAATAGAGGGAAGGGCTGCGTCCCCCAAACAGTCATCCAGCATAGACATACTGCAGCCCCAAAGCCATCGCCAGTCACCCCTTGGGCTTTATTTGCTGAAAAGCATTGGCATTTGCTGAGATGGTTGTGCACCCATCTGTACCCAGAGAAGCTTGTCAGCCACTCTGAGCCTTTCTGAAGCAACTCGGCCCCAAAGGGAAGACTCCTCCTGTGTTTGGTCGTGGGTCTTCTGAGGAGGCTGAGGAATAATGTGGGAGAAAGGAAAGAAGAAGCAACCTCCGATTCAGGGTTTCTGTTCATAACAACATTCTCCCCAGAAGAAGGAGGGGGAATTGGATAGCTTTGGGAACCAGTAATGGGATAGGGAATTTTTAAAACCTGTATAGACCACCTGTTTGAAACTGTCTCACAGGACACGGGGACCAAAAGCCACTGTCGCCTGACAGCTGCTTGGTGGGAGACACGAAATGAACAGGGTCTCATTTTAGTGCCCGGAGGGACCGGTGTGCCACGGTCAGAGCACACTCTCAGCTGGCACCTCTGTGGACAGAGTCCAGGGTGGCCATCCTTCACGCTATTTAATTCGTTTGCTTGTCACAGGAGTGGTTACGGAGCAAAGCTCACAGTAGGGTGCTGAGGGGTCGATGACAGCAGCTTCTGCAGTCTCAGCACAGGGTGCATCTGGATCAGAGCCTGGGCACATCTAAATTATGCCTGTTTTGGAAACTGGCTGCACTTTCTCCTCCTCCCTGTCTGTGGAGCGAGGCCCAGTTCTGGCGTGGGATGTAGGCAGATTCTTCTGCAGGGGGCACCTGCTCCATCTACAGCTAAAGGGTGGACCTACCTGAAAGTTTTGTCACTGTGACTCAGACCACTAAGATGCTGCTCTTCGATGTGCCAACACGAAGGGGTAAATGGTGTGGGTGTCAGTCAGTCAGGCTGTAAATGGTGTGGGTGTCAGTCAGTCAGGCTGTAAATGGTGTGTGTGTCAGTCAGTCAGGCTGTAAATGGTGTGGGTGTCAGTCAGGCTGTAAATGGTGTGGGTGTCAGTCAGTCAGGCTGTAAATGGTGTGGGTGTCAGTCAGGCTGTAAATGGTGTGGGTGTCAGTCAGTCAGGCTGTAAAGGGTGTGGGTGTCAGTCAGTCAGGCTGTAAATGGTGGGGGTGTCAGTCAGTCAGGCTGTAAAGGGTGTGGGTGTCAGTCAGTCAGGCTGTAAATGGTGTGGGTGTCAGTCAGGCTGTAAATGGTGTGGGTGTCAGTCAGTCAGGCTGTAAATGGTGTGGGTGTCAGTCAGCCTGTAAATGGTGTGGGTGTCAGTCAGTCAGGCTGTAAAGGGTGTGGGTGTCAGTCAGTCAGGCTGTAAATGGTGTGGGTGTCAGTCAGTCAGGCTGTAAAGGGTGTGGGTGTCAGTCAGGCTGTAAATGGTGTGGGTGTCAGTCAGCCTGTAAATGGTGTGGGTGTCAGTCAGTCAGGCTGTAAACGGTGTGGGTGTCAGTCAGTCAGGCTGTAAATGGTGTGGGTGTCAGTCAGTCAGGCTGTAAACGGTGTGGGTGTCAGTCAGTCAGGCTGTAAATGGTGTGGGTGTCAGTCAGGCTATAAATGGTGTGGGTGTCAGTCAGTCAGGCTGTAAACGGTGTGGGTGTCAGTCAGGCTGTAAATGGTGTGGGTGTCAGTCAGGCTGTAAATGGTGTGGGTGTCAGTCAGTCAGGCTGTAAATGGTGTGGGTGTCAGTCAGGCTATAAATGGTGTGGGTGTCAGTCAGGCTGTAAATGGTGTGGGTGTCAGTCAGTCAGGCTGTAAATGGTGTGGGTGTCAGTCAGTCAGGCTGTAAATGGTGTGGGTGTCAGTCAGGCTATAAATGGTGTGGGTGTCAGTCAGTCAGGCTGTAAATGGTGTGGGTGTCAGTCAGTCAGGCTGTAAATGGTGTGGGTGTCAGTCAGGCTGTAAATGGTGTGGGTGTCAGTCAGGCTATAAATGGTGTGGGTGTCAGTCAGTCAGGCTGTAAACGGTGTGGGTGTCAGTCAGTCAGGCTGTAAATGGTGTGGGTGTCAGTCAGGCTGTAAACGGTGTGGGTGTCAGTCAGGCTGTAAATGGTGTGGGTGTCAGTCAGGCTATAAATGGTGTGGGTGTCAGTCAGTCAGGCTGTAAATGGTGTGGGTGTCAGTCAGTCAGGCTGTAAAGGGTGTGGGTGTCAGTCAGGCTGTAAATGGTGTGGGTGTCAGTCAGCCTGTAAATGGTGTGGGTGTCAGTCAGTCAGGCTGTAAACGGTGTGGGTGTCAGTCAGTCAGGCTGTAAATGGTGTGGGTGTCAGTCAGTCAGGCTGTAAACGGTGTGGGTGTCAGTCAGTCAGGCTGTAAATGGTGTGGGTGTCAGTCAGGCTGTAAATGGTGTGGGTGTCAGTCAGTCAGGCTGTAAATGGTGTGGGTGTCAGTCAGTCAGGCTGTAAATGGTGTGGGTGTCAGTCAGTCAGGCTGTAAATGGTGTGGGTGTCAGTCAGTCTATAAATGGTGTGTGTGTCAGTCAGTCAGTCTGTAAACGGTGTGTGTGTCAGTCAGGCTGTAAATGGTGTGGGTGTCAGTCAGTCAGGCTGTAAATGGTGTGGGTGTCAGTCAGTCAGCCTGTAAATGGTGTGGGTGTCAGTCAGTCAGGCTGTAAACGGTGTGGGTGTCAGTCAGTCAGGCTGTAAATGGTGTAGGTGTCAGTCAGTCAGGCTGTAAATGGTGTGGGCGTCAGTCAGTCAGGCTGTAAATGGTGTATCAGTCAGGTTGTACATGGTGTGGGTATCAGGCTGTAGGAAAACTGTTAGGAAAGCGATGACTCCATTGCAATGCTGTGTACATAGTTTTCATGTTGGCAGATGTTTGAATAAAAATGGTCTATTCTAGGAAATATTTTTCTATTAACAACCATCTCATTACTTCACGGCATATACAAGCTATTATAGGGATAATTTCTTGTAGACAAAAACCCAGTTGTTCCTGAAATGGTATTTTATAGGGTTTAGGATGCAGGATTCAGGCAGCCCACCTGGAATATGCTGTGTGAGGAACAAAAGATCCAGCTGCTCAGACTTATTGCTGCAAAAACATTAACCAAAATGAGCAGAAACAGCTACCAAAACATCATTTGAAGAGTTTCAGGCAAAATATTGTTCTACAACAGTGGCTAAGTCACAGGCAATATTATATCAAGCATAAAATCTTTACTAGCCTCCTAATAACAGCCTCCAGCCACCATTTTAGAGATTTATCTGAGTGAATGCACTCATTTCACGTAGACGAGGGGCTAGAGATACCTGTGGGAATGGCCAGTGCAGTTGCTCTCGTTAAAGCAAAGTCAGTTTCACGGGAAAAGTTCAGGAAACTCGGCTGCCTATAGAAATCCCTGTGGATCCACTCCAGCTACTAGCTTCAGTTTCTCACATCTTGACGTATCCACCCATTCACAACAGCGTCCCCGTCTCCCTCTTTCTCCTTCAAGATGGCTCCGCCTGGTGAAGGCCTATCAGTCAGCCTCGGAATCTCGCTTGCAGCCTCACCCTCTGGCTGCAGAGCTGTGCTGGGAGCACATAATCGGGGAGTGGGTGAGAGAAGGGGGAGCTCCGGGCCCTTCTGGGGCCTTGGTGACACCCAGTCAGCTTGTGGAAAGCAGGATCAGAGGCCTCAAGCCAAGGAACTGTGAAAAAAGGACCCAGTGGGATGTGAATTCCACAAACGCCTTCTGTAATGTAGGAAGGGAGACACCTTTTGTCTTGTTACCCCTATGGTGGCTTGGGGCCACCTTGTGAAAGTTCAAGCTCACTCACCTTTGCAGATGATGCCGCAGCCAACACAGTCCTCCACACCTTGGGCCCCCTCCACCACCAGCAGGTGTGAATTCCCGTCCTCTGAGGGCAGTTATGGGGCTGAGCAGCAGAAGGCCAGGGCGCTGGCCCCTTTGATCTCTGACACTCCTCAGGGCCATTTGTGAGCAGAGTGGGAGGAAGGTGGAGAGGCCCTACTTCTCAGCCAGGTGTTGATGGCTTAGCTCCATGAATCCCTGAGTTCACAAAGGAGGAAGGCAGGAGCCAGCCCTGTGAAGCACAGACCGGCCTGCACGGTGTTGATGGTCTCTCAGGGCGTGGGCGGGGAAACCCCCTAACTCTCCCAGAGAGAGGAGGGGTGAGGGCCAAACCTCCTGTTTCACACTTTAACACTCTTGTTTTATGTGGGAACCTCTCTCTCTTACAGCTTTGTTTTTTAACCATTCATGGGCTCTCATGAGTACACTGGTGGGGATTTGTGAGGGAAGGAATCCAAAAAGGTCCTTCAATCCAGCCTGCTGCCTCTTGGCAGAACCACACTTCTCAGGGATCTGGGGCTGAGGCGAGTCAGACGGCGGGTGCAGAGCAGCACGGTGCCCCCTTCCTCAAGTGGGAGGCTTGAGAACCTGCTGGCTGCCCCAGTCGGCCGCACGGAGGGGAGAGGGCATGGGAACTGCACATAGCTATAGGATCAGGCTCAGGCATCTGGGGTGCGGGTGAACTGTGTGAACCCAGTGCTGCTCACAAGACACCCAGGGCTACCCTGTGAGGGGTTCAGAAAGACAGGCAGGCTGCTTTGGCCTGGGTGACAAAGAATTTGGGCCTCTAAGCAAAACGATAGGAAAAAGGCTGCTTTCCTCTTGCAGGCTGAAAAATACCATTGAAAAGGGGCCCCTTTTCTCCTCCTGCCCTGATAAGTTTTCCCACAGTCTACCATGGAGGGTCTCATGAGCCTGGCTGAGGTCCCCAGAAGCCTCCTCTCCTTGCACCCCTGACTGCCCCCTCCACTATAACTATATTTCCTGCAAAGCCCACCCCATGCTGATTTGTAACTTGCTTCCATTTCTATAAAAATCTGGGTGCAGGGGGCAGAGTGATTGGTACCTGTGCCAGCCCCCTCCTCCCAGTTGTCCCTAGAGCTAGACCCTCTTCAAGAAGAACACCTGAGTCCTTCTCCCAGGCTGGGCCGGGGCAGGCAGGTGCTGATCCAGGAAGACACCTGTGGTTGTCCTCGAAGCCACATTGCTCTGGCCAAGGCCACTGGTCACTGAGCTGGGCTTCCCCTTCAACCAGACAACCTCAGCACGGGGGCCAGCATGCAGCCAATGCCTCTCCTTACCGACTGGGTGTCACCCTCCCCTGGTCCCGACAAGCCTCCCCAGACCAGGCCCAGCCTCCACAGCCTCCCCAGACCAGGCCCAGCCTCCCCAGACCAGGCCCAGCCTCCGCAGCCTCCGCAGCCGCTTCTTCCCTCCGCTCTTCCACTTCTCACCAGTCCCTCCAGGTCCAGCTCAGGCACCGCTTCTGCCCCTCCCGCCCCTGCCTGCTGAGCACCTCCCCTGACTGCCCCAGGCAGGCCTTGTTCCCTGGCTCCTTTGGAGATGAGTTGTTGGTGAACGTTACAGCTAACGTCTGTGTGGCCATCACCACTTTATGCACCCAGATGATCTCACCATCCCCACACCAGAGTGTGTGCGTGGCTAGGTGCTTTGCAATGTTCGCTGATTGGAGGCCTCCGTTCCAAACACGCCCGATGTGGAGGTCACCGTTCCAAACACGCCCGATGTGGAGGTCACCGTTCCAAACCTGCCCGATGCTCCAGGTGGACCCCCTGGTTGTGAGGGGTGCCCGGCGAGCTCTGAGCCTGCCCACCAGGGCCAGTGAAGGTTATGGCACAGCACCAGCCCCCTCCCCATCACTTCCCCCTCGCTGGCTTCTGCCTCAGTTTTCTCCCACTTCTGTCCTCCTCAGAGCCTTGGTCTGGGCAGTGTTCTGTCAACACCTACATGAGCAGCTCCAGCCCAGCAGACATCCAGTCTCTCCATAAAAGGAGCTGGCACCTGCTCCTCACGATGGGCACGTGGCCCCCCCTATTTCAGAGACTATGAAGGTAGGCGGGAGTTGAATGGCTAGCTCTTGAGCAGCTCCTATGTGGTAGGCCCAGATCCCAGCCCAAGCAGCCCCAAGGCAGGAATGCAGGTCCCTTAGGGATCCAAGCTCCATTTCCCTTCCTGCTTTGACTCCAGGGCTTCCACTCCCAGGACCTCTCACTGCTGAGAATCTCATTTCAGAGTGACTGCTGGGTTGAGGGGCATTATGTAAATGCTTTGATAATAACATGTAAGGTGTGGGGGGGACGGAGGGAGGAGGAAGAGCTAAAGGGTGCTCTGTGGTGTCTGCACATCCTGGTGCTGCTGGTCTGTGCTTGTTACCCCCTCTCTTTGTAGGACTTCCTGGTTTGTATGATACACACAGCCTACTTTTAAAAAGCCACCCGAAGTCCTACAAACACCACGGTTGATGCTCATTGGTGGACTTACCTTGTGGCCACAACCAGCTGCAGGGAGGTGGAAGGTGGGGGCTGGCCTGGGCTCCTGGCCTTGACCGTCTTCAGGAGTCTCGGTGACTGGGGCTGTGGCCGGACCACCTGCTGGATGGTGGTTTCCATTTTGTCTGCCTGGTCCTCTCCACAGGGCAGCCGTCGGGTGACCAGCTTTGCTGTGCCAGCAGTGGTCAGGGCTGGTCCCAGGACCCAGGAGCCTGTGTCACCAAGCAGCCGGCCCTAGCCAGCCTGGGACTTTCTGGAGGATGTGTGCCAGCATCTCTCAGAGGACACTTTCTTCCTCTCCAGGAGCCTCAGCCCCTTCCCACTTCCTTCAGCTCCCAGACTCAGGTCCACCTCCACCCTGCTCTGCACCTGGGGAACAGCGAGGAGTGGGAGGCTGGGCCGGGCACCCCCAGCTCCGTTCCTGGGCCCCAGCCCCAAGCACCGCTTGGCTCCCATGGCCCTTGCTACTCACTCTGGGCCTGGCACCTCTACAGCCTCTTTTCCAAGCCCTCCCTCAGCCCCTGCCACCCGACGTGTGTCTGCTCCCCAGGACGGGACTTGGCTCTCACTTCTCTGCCTGCCGGCATCTCCCACCCTTCCCATGTCTCCGTCCTGAGCTGCCTCTTTCTCGTGCTCATCCTGGGCAGTGAGGTCATGGACCTGAGTGTGCCTGTCCTTTCTGCATTCCCTGCGGTGCAGCGCGGTGTGTGGCTTTTTATCCGAGTGCACCTGTTCCCCTGCATTCCTGGGTGGCGTTCTTCTCCTTTCCCTTCTTGGACCTTCAAAGCACGATTCTTCAGGTTCTTTCCAGGTCTTCGGGCCAGATCTGTGGAATCGTACTGTGATTTCTCAGAAGCTTTGTTTCATAAGACTGTTGGTTGTGTTAAAGGAGCATGATCTGTGAAGGTCGGTGACAAAAGAGGAAAGTGAAGGGAAGGGCACCCTGACACATGGCTCCTGAGAGGGGCATCCCCTCGGCAGCTGCAGAAGTGAGTGAGCGTAACTCCACTGCGAAGGGGTCTCAGCGTCTCTGAGCGGAGCTCCCCCAGCGCAGTTCCCCCAGCGCCACCTTGAAGGCGTGAGGGGCATGGGGTCAGGGGGTGAGGAGGGGCCCTTTGGCCTATTTGTGGGTGGACAGGAGCATGCTGAGAAGCCCCTTCCTGCATCTTTTTCTGTCTTCTGGTCATCACCAGGGGAGGGAGAGGGTGCTGGCCACAAACCACTTGATGCTGGGGGCTAACGGGAGCAGGTGTGGAGAGGGAAGCCCATTGAGCTCTTTGCCTGGTGGATGTTGCTATGAATTTTGGATTTTGATTATACGATGATAAAAATTACACAAAAATGCAAATGCTCTGCTATTCATTCAAATATGCAACAAATATTTGTGTACCCTCTATGTGCCAGATATTATGAATGTTGTATCTGCCATCATTTTTCTTAGAAAATTATTCAGCATTTCTTAGGCTACGCACGAGCTTAGTTATTCTTGACCTCCTAGGCATACCCAAACATTTAGTTAGTGCCTCAGGGCGCCTCATCTCCAGGCCTCTGATGTGCAGGCCCCCGGCCCCTGTGTTTTGTGGTCAGAGCACTCAGGAGCAGCCCCTTCGGTCTGAATGCATGCCATGTGAGTGTCTCATCTTTGCCATTAGGTACAAGGGATTCATACACATTTAACAGTTTATATATTTAATAGCTATTTTTCTAAGACGCTTAGCACAATGAACGCCAGCCACACAGGTCCCTGTGTGTTAAGGATGAGTGGAGGCCTCCATTTCCCACCCCCGTGCCCAAACCTGCAGTCATGATGCCTCTCTTGGGCGAGATCCGAACCCTAGGGGGCTTTTTGGGGTCCTCAGTGCTTCTCTGCTACCTCACTTGTTTCTGCTGAAATGGAAAACAAAGGAAGCTGTCTTCAGCAATAGGAGGGTACCAATTTGGTTTGAGGGCAAAGTGAAAGGTTCTTTGTGGCCCTAAAAACCACAGTAGGACCACTGAACTGTGGCTTTCCCAGGCCCCAGTGCATGCAAAGTCCTTGACACTCGAGTTGGAAAAAGTGGGGTATTAGGAGGAGGAAGTCTCAGCGCTCCTCTGTGGTCACTCACTGCTTCTCTCTCACTCCCTTTCTCCTTTTTCTCTCTCTGCGTCTCAGGCTTCAAGACCTCCGACATCTGGAGGCTCCATGCAAATCCCACCAAACGTGTGAAACTGCCTCAGTAGCCCACACGAAGTAGAATTGATAGGAAGTATGTGAGGGTTGAGGTGCACTGTGCTCATATGCATTGTGCTCATAGATGGGAAATTTTGTTTGTAAGCATTCAAATATCAATCGGATTTTTTACTTTCATATTTTGGAGAAAAGAATCTTTGCTCCAGTTCTTATGTATTTTTGGGAACCCTTGCAGAACTCATAGACCCCATAACCCTGGGGCACAGGGTTGGGGGTTAGACACCCCAAGGTCCTGTTTCCTGCTGAGGGACCTGGGCTAACGCCTCTGGCAACTCCTATTTCAAGCTTTAAATGAAGTGTTTCTTGGCTTCCCTTTCCTGCATTTGCTGTTCACAGAGTCCCCACCACCTTCAACTGTCACCTCATTTGCTCCACCAGGCACCGCTGAGATGGTCATCCTGCAAGAAAACTCTGATATTGTCACTCTTGTACATAAAGACTCCTGTGGCAGCACTTGCTTACTGTGAGGTCCAGCATGCGGCTGAGCCAGCAGGACTTTCACTTTCGGGTCTGACTCACATCCTCTCTTGTGTCCCCAGCCACCCCGACCCCCAGTGTGGGCATTCCCACTCATCGCTCTGTCCCCTTCACAACCTTGTGTCCCCGGCCACCCAGGATAGGGGCTCCTCCTGTGGGATAGGGGCTCCTCCTGTGGGATAGGGACTCCTCCTGTGGGATAGGGGCTCCTCCTGTGGCATAGGGACTCCTCCTGCAGGATATGAGCTCCTCTTACGGGATAGGGACTCCTCCTGTGGGATAGGGGCTCCTCCTGTGGGATAGGGGCTCCTCCTGTGGGATAGGGACTCCTATGGGATAGGGACTCCTCCTATGGGATAGTGGCTCCTCCTGTGGGATAGGGACTCCTCCTGTGGGATAGGGACTCCTCCTGCAGGATATGAGCTCCTCTTACGGGATAGGGACTCCTCCTGTGGGATAGGGGCTCCTCCTGTGGGATAGGGGCTCCTCCTGTGGGATAGGGACTCCTATGGGATAGGGACTCCTCCTATGGGATAGTGGCTCCTCCTGTGGGATAGGGACTCCTCCTGTGGGATAGGGGCTCCTCTTACGGGATAGGGACTCCTCCTGTGGGATAGGGGCTCCTCCTGTGGGATAGGGATTCCTCCTGTGGGATAGGGGCTCCTCCTGTGGGATAGGGGCTCCTCCTGTGGGATAGGGACTCCTCCTGTGGGATAGGGGCTCCTCCTGTGGCATAGGGACTCCTCCTGCAGGATATGAGCTCCTCTTACGGGATAAGGACTCCTCCTGTGGGATAGGGGCTCCTCCTGTGGGATAGGGGCTCCTCCTGTGGGATAGGGGCTCCTCCTGTGGGATAGGGGCTCCTCCTGTGGGATAGGGGCTCCTCCTGTGGGATAGGGATTCCTCCTGTGGGATAGGGGCTCCTCCTGTGGGATAGGGACTCCTCCTGTGGGATAGGGATTCCTCCTGTGGGATAGGGGCTCCTCCTGTGGGATAGGGACTCCTCCTGTGGGATAGGGGCTCCTCCTGTGGGATAGGGATTCCTCCTGTGGGATAGGGGCTCCTCCTGTGGGATAGGGGCTCCTCCTGCGGGATAGGGGCTCCTCCTGCGGGATAGGGACTCCTCCTGCGGGATAGGGACTCCTCCTGCGGGATAGGGGCTCCTCCTGCGGGATATGAGCTCCTCTTACGGGATAGGGGCTCCTCCTGCGGGATATGAGCTCCTCTTACGGGATAGGGGCTCCTCCTGTGGGATAGGGGCTCCTCCTGTGGGATAGGGATTCCTCCTGTGGGATAGGGGCTCCTCCTGTGGGATAGGGGCTCCTCCTGTGGGATAGGGGCTCCTCCTGTGGGATAGGGAGTCCTCCTGTGGGATAGGGGCTCCTCCTGTGGGATAGGGGCTCCTCCTGTGGGATAGGGACTCCTATGGGATAGGGACTCCTCCTATGGGATAGTGGCTCCTCCTGTGGGATAGGGACTCCTCCTGTGGGATAGGGGCTCCTCCTGTGGGATAGGGACTCCTCCTGTGGGATAGGGACTCCTCCTGTGGGATAGGGGCTCCTCCTGTGGGATAGGGGCTCCTCCTGTGGGATAGGGAGTCCTCCTGTGGGATAGGGGCTCCTCCTGTGTGATAGGGGCTCCTCCTGTGGGATAGGGGCTCCTCCTGTGGGATAGGGGCTCCTCCTGTGGGATAGGGACTCCTCCTGTGGGATAGGGACTCCTATGGGATAGGGACTCCTCCTATGGGATAGGGACTCCTCCTATGGGATAGGGACTCCTCCTGTGGGATAGGGACTCCTCCTGTGGGATAGGGGCTCCTCCTATGGGATAGGGACTCCTCCTGCAGGATATGAGCTCCTCTTACGGGATAGGGACTCCTCCTGCAGGATATGAGCTCCTCTTACGGGATAGGGACTCCTCCTGTGGGATAGTGGCTCCTCCTAAGGGATAGGGGCTCCTCCTGCCCCTATCCCCTTTGGGTCCTTGGCCCCAGCAGCCAGGCTGGCACTGCTACCATTTGGGATACTTCTTGTTCTTCCCACCTCCCAGTAGCTCTGCAAATCCTTTGGACGCCATCTCTGCAAACACGTCCCATCTCCATGGTACCGGGCTGGCCCCAGTTTAGGTGGAGCTGTCAGCAGCTGCTGGGTGTGGAGGGCCTGGAGACCCAGTGGGCAGCTGCTGGAACCAGGCAGGCCCCTCTGTGGGAAGACTGGGCAACACCAGCCTCTGAGGGCTTGAGGTGCCCAAGGGTATTCAGGCAGGGCCCTGGAGCCAGGAGACACTGGTGATAAAGAGGCTGAAAGGCATTTACTCAGGCAGGACACAGGGTCATGAAGCTGGTTTGCTCCAAAGTTCCTCTCGCACTACCCTGGGGCCTTGTACGTGCCCTGCAGCTAAGAGGGCCAGGCCTGCAGCTGAGGCGAGTGAGCCGTGCTGGAGAGGTGAGCTCTGTGTGAGCAGGTGTGCTGCTTTGGAGCCCCGGACGTCAGTGCCAGCTCCTGACTTTTAGGAAGGTCCCAGGGGCCAAGATCAGAGCAGCAGGCCCAGCAGGCAGGGAAAGGCAGGGAAGTTGTGTGTAGATCACAGAGAAGCCCAGAGAGCATGCTAACCATCCCAACTGTCAGAGGTCGTCCTGTGGAGAAGGCAGGCAGAAAGCCAGGCTTCTGTGCCAAATTGTTAAAATTCTAAGTGTTGGCTTGAATTAGAACAAAACAAACCTCCTGGCCAACATGGTGAAACCCTGTCTCTATTAAAAATACAAAAACTAGCCAGGTGTGGTGGTCGGAGGTGGGGGGATGCCTGTAGTCCCAGCTACTTGGGAGGCTGAGGCAGGAGAATCACTTGAACCCGGGAGGCGGAGGTTGCAGTGAGCCGAGATTGCACCACTGCACTCCAGCCTGGGCAACAGAGCGAGACTCTGTAAAAAAAAAAAACCAAGCAAACAACAAACAACAACAACAACAAAACAAACAACCAAACCAAACAAGACAAACAAGCAAAAACAACAAAGCACAAGACAGCCCATCCAGAACATGCCTGCAGGTGGGCATGATGGGCGGGATGGCCTGGTAGGGCGGGTGCCGAGGAGGCTGTGGTTGGGACGTGACTCACAGGGACTCCAGGAGGAAATGTGCCCCCGACATGGAGCTGGAGAGGGCGCTCCCAGAGGGCAGACATGCGGTGCCCTAATGGGAGTCCATTCACTGAGTGGATGGAGTCTGGAAAGCAGGGGCAGATATGGGCAGGGGACAGAGCGCAGGAAGGGCTCTGTGCTTTGGCTGGACTGAGGGGATGTGCCTGGCCATCCACAAGGAGCGATTCAGGCCATTCCCAGGAGGGTCTGTTGTGCACCCTGACTTGCTGGGTTGTTTTCCCCCCAAGACGGAGTCTTGCTCTGTCACCCAGGCTGGAGTGCAGCGGCGCAATCTCGGCTCACTGCAACATCCGTCTCCCAGGTTCAAATGATTATCTTTTCCCAGCCTCCTACGTAGCTGGGACTACGGGCAGCACCACCACACTCAGCAAATTTTTTGTATTTTTAGTAGCAATGAGGTTTCACCATGTTGGCCAGGCTGGTCTCGAACTTCTGGCCTCAGGTGATCCACCTGCCTCGGCCTCACAAAGTGTTGGGATTACAGGCGTGAGCCACTGCGTCTGGCCTGGCTTGCTGTTCTTATTTATGAAGCTCACAGTGGCACATCCATGTGACAGAAACCAAGTCATCTACACAGATTCTGTAGGGAACAGGTTCTTCTGCGCACAGTAGCGGGCAGCCATTTCATCAGCAAACGCAGCCTCCCACAGAGCTGATCTGGTGTGGACTGCCGGTGGGTTTGGAATCTGGGATGTGGGATGTGGGCTCGGGGTGTGGACATGGGGTCAGGTGGACCCTGCTTCCATGCAGACCCTGCCACCCACAAACTGCTCGGTGTTGGGCTTGGTGTTTCTCTTCTGTGAGTCTCCGCTTCCTCTTCTGTAAAGTGCCCACCTCTCGGCTGCGTGACTGACAGTTGCGTCAGTGGTGGGTGGAATGCACCGTGCGGCACTCAGCACCCACCGGGCACCGACAGGTGCAGTGTGGCAGGGGAGGCTGGAGCCGAGGCCAGCCCTGGGCTCTGTTTGGACTCGCACTTCCTCTCGTGCCCGTCCACCCAGGCCCGCTCTTGCCGGCACCTCCGTCCTGGGCCCAGGACCCTGCTTGGCCCCGGAATGCGGCCTGAGACTCCGAGGCACGGGGAGCACTCCATGGCCACAACGAGCAGGAAGCTCATTTTAAAAATGGTGCCACCTCCACCTTGTTTTTTTCATTTTTTCCACAGATCTAAGGTCACACATTGCCTCCTTGCATTAAGGAGAAAACGAGAATGCTCTAATGGCCTTTGAGTTAAGGAAAGTTGGCGGATGACAAATGTGATTCCTCTGCACTCTCTGAGACCCAAGTCTGCTCCCCGGTGCCTCACAGAGGACATGCCCCAGGGCCCGCGGGGCCTGCATCCAGCAGTGCCCATGGCACAAGGCCAGGCTGTCCGAGAGGCCTTGCTGGGTCCTGCGGCTGCGTTCAGGACCCAGGCTCCAGCACAGCCGAGACTCTCCTCTCTGGCAAACCCGGGCCAGGCTGCCCCTTCTCCCCCCGCAGGGCCCTCCGTCCGCCTGCATCACCTGCTCGTATGCATCCACCTCTCTCCTCTTCTCTTTATCCTGGAGAGCCCTTGGGAGACTTTTCAGGTCCTTATTAAATGCAACCAGCCACAAAGCCAGCCCTGGGCCTTGGTCATTCACTGTCGTGGTGTAAAATGGAATTACATTACAAAGTGAGGGCTTTCCCACACCTAGCAGAGGGGGTGATGGAAAGTAAACGAAGTGTTGGGGAAGATTGGAACTTTGATAGAAGAGAAAAGAGGCTGAGGTGGGAGCAGGTTACCACTTCTGTCTGGGACAGAAGGACGGAGGATGTGGGTGGCACAAGGGGGCCAAAGGCCTGCCCTTCCCAGAAGCTACCCCCAGGTGGGAGGGCCTGTGGTAGGAGGAGGATGGCTGGGTGAAACACAGATGTCCAGTTGCATCTGAATTTCAGGTAGGATAAACACGTCCCAGATACAGCATGGCAATACGTATACTGAGCATGAGCTCTTCTTTATCTGAAATTCAAACTGTAACAACTGGCCATCCTGCTGAATGTTTTCTGTTCATGTTTGGCTGTTTTGCTAAATTTCTGGCAACCGTAGGTGAGGCTGCCTAGGGGGTGTGTGAGGTCACCTGACCTATGGGAATCACGGAACCTCCCTCTGGGTGGCTCCGTGAGTGTTTCAGGGCACCATGGCCAGGCGCAGGGTGGTTCACTCTTGCCTCTTTCTCCCTGCACTCCGAGTGCCCTCAGTGGGGACTGTTTTCGAGGTTTGTTTAAGAGAGAGGCTCAGGACTTCGAAGAGAGGTTTCCTCGGCTCAGAGTGCAGAGAGGGAGGGTTTGAATTGTGATGTCTGTGGTGAGGGTGGCTAGGCAGACAGTGCATGAGGACCTGGTGTCCTCCTGGAAAGGACACGCCGGCCATCTCGGGGTCTTTCTGCTTCTGAGTGTCTGGGAGGTGCGCTGGGAGGAAGGAGGTGACTTTCCTCAGTGCCTGGCTGGTGGGAACACAGGACCAACACCTCCCGCCTACCGTGCAGCAGGCCCTTTCAGACACACAGTTCAGTTACTTGGCTCGCTGTGCCCTTCCCCTCCCCAGCAGCCTTCTGGTGGGTACTGTTCAAATTCAGCAGCCACAGGGACATGGGGGCCCCCACGCAGCACTGGGGGCTGAGCCCAGGTGGGCCGGCCCTGAGATCCTCGACTGGGGCTGCCTGGGATAGAGCAGCTCCAGACACTTGGGGACACGAGATTGATTCCCATATTGCAGGGGACATGGGAGGGGCCCCTGGAATGTGACCTTTCCCATGGGGCGGGACAGGCGGTGCCTTCACCGGGGGAAGGCCGGCGGATGAGGCAGCAGAAGCCTTTCAAGTTTCTTCTCGGCTGTCTGCATCTGCCGCTCACAGAGAAAAATGACTGTCTTCCTGCTCTGGATTTGGCTGTGGTACCTGATCAAATATTTTGGTACCATTTTCAGGAAGATGAGATGCTATCTGGGGCACAAAGGAGTTAATATTCAAAGGGCTATTGTGAGGGTGTCCACGGACTAAAGAAGGAGCTGGGGAGGCTGCTTCCTCCGCCACTCGGGCCCCTTGGAAGCTGCTCCCAGGTGCCAGGGACAGAGAGGCTGCTCCAATTGGCAGCTGGGGCCACCATTTCCCCGTTCCTGAGGCCTTGGGTTTGGGAGCTGTCCCCACTCTGTCCTTAAAGATTGGGATGAGAAGGTGAGAAAGGGCACAGGCAGGAGCCCTTTCCCCTCAGGAGCCGTAGGAGGCCAGGGAGACCCAAGCAGCCGGGATCCTGGGCTCCTCACTCACACATGTGTACACGCATGCACACTCACACCTCACACACACATACACTCACACTCACACCTCACACACATACACTCACACACACTCACACACATACACTCACACTCACACCTCACACACACATACACTCACACACTCACACCTCACACCCTCACACACACTCACACACATACACTCACACTCACACCTCACACCCTCACACACATACACACACACTCACACCCTCACTCCCACATACACTCACACTAACACACACACCCTCTCTCCTACTCACACACTCACACCCTCACACCCACATACACTCACACTAACACACACCCTCACTCTTACACACACTCTTCCATACTCTTACACACACTCACACACTCACTCCCACGTACACTCACACTAACACACACACTCTCACTGTTCCACTCACTCTCACACACAGCCTCACCCCACACTGACACTCTCACACACTCTTCCAGGCCCCATCAAGGAAGAGCCTTCGCAGGTGTCAGACTTTGCCTAAATCTGCCGCCAACTCTGTCAGGCTGCGTCTGCTCTTGGCCCCGGGGGACTGGGCATTCTCAGTGAGAGTGGGGGTGACACTGACTCGGGGCTGGGACCCCTTGCCCTGGTCCTGCTGGGTGCACCCGTGGATGTGGTTCCAGTAGCTTTTTAAACATTCACTGAAGACAGAAACAGGCACAGGATGCTGCCGTCCACCTGCTACCAGGGTGCAGGGCCCAGGTGCCTACTGAGGGGGTCCCAGGCATTGAGGTGGCAGGGGGGATGTGACCGGGCTCCTGCCCATCCCAGGCCCTGTCCTGCAGGGTTTCTGGGGAGGGTGGGTGCATGTGGAGGGTCCCAGCACAGCCCACGCGCAGGCCCAGGCAGGGGACAGTGCCTCCGGGGGGGATGGCGAGGCTTCAGCAGCACCCTCCTGGTGGACTGAGCCCTGCAGGTTCTGGAGGGTGGACTCCACTGTTTTAATGCGGCTTGTTCTGGCAGCTCAGCATCGCCATGTTCCATCAGTGCTGGTTGGTGACGGAACCCACAAGGGGCCGGCATCTCTGGCTCTGGCCTTTGAACCAGGGCACAGTGGCTGGTGCGGGAGGGGCCGGCAGCCTTCTTGGGGGGTTGGAGGCACCGTGGGCCAGAGGCACTCTGCATCCTGCAGACAGCTTCAGTTTGTTCTTGTAATTGAAGCTTTGAATGTCATCAGCAATCAAGTCCAAAGTTCTCAAACTGTGGTCCCCACACCAGCGGCATCGCAGGGCTTGTGAGAAATGCCAGTCTCAAGCTTCACCTGGATCACGAATTCTGGAGTGGGGCCAAAGACCTGTGTTCAGCAAGGCCCTCCAGGTTCAGATGGACAGCAGAGCTTGAGAGCCGCCACCATGTCGTGAGTTGCTTTAGTTTAGTCCTATTAAAACTGCTTAAGAAACAGGGCTCTGGGGCTGGGTGGGGGCTGGACAGAGCAATAGAGGAAACCCCTTGACCCACGTTTGGGTCACAGGTGCTGCTGCTGCTCCAGGCAAGGGATGTCTGGCTGGGTCTTGCTAAAGCAAAGTGAGCAGCCGGTGCACAGCAGAGCCCATGGGAAAGGCCCCGTCTCAGCTTCGCCAGCTCAGGCCGGGAGGGCTCTCATGTCCCTCGCGGGACGAGCGATGATGTGGCCATACTCAGCCCTGGGCACGGCCTGCCTGGAGCTGTTGCTGAGCGGATGCCTGGGCTCTCCCTGAGGTTTAGGCAGATCTTGCTTTCCAGGGTCTTGTTTGGCTCATTTACAAACGAGGTGGAGGAGCTCCCATGGGTCCTAAAAGGCTCCACACAGGGTCACCTGGCCTTTGCCCCTACCATCCTCTGCCAGGCACGAGCTGAGCTGGCCAGTGGCCATGGGTGGTGATGGGCCTGAGGGATACCGGGCCCACGCCCCTCCCTGCCCTCGGCCTCCTCCCCAGACCACAGTCATCACAGTCCCTTGCAGCAGAGGATCAGGGATGGGACCTGACCCAGAAAGTCCCAGGGAATCCCCAGTGGGAATGCTCACAGTGAGTTCCCTAGAGCTTAGCTCTGCCTGAGCAGAAAGGAGGCAAGAGTGAGGCGGCTGCTGGCTGTGCAGTGACCCCAGGGCCTGGCCTGGGAAAACTCCAAATGGACACTCACAAACTTCTGCCGCATCTTTGTGACAGCTAGTCCGTGTCTCCTGGGAGGAGAAGGAAGAAAAACACTGGCTCATCTTGCCTCAGCAGCTGCTGTTGAGTATGTAATTAACACACACACACACACACACACACACACACACAAAATGAGACCCAAGCACCGCAGCATTGCAATTGCCCCTTCAACAGTTTCCCAAAATAGTGTTGAAATCTATTCAATTTACTAATTACACATTCTCACCATAAAGAAAGGGCTGCAATTCCTGAGCCTCAGCAGATCCCTTAGAATATTTAGAACGCCACTGTAATGTCTATTGTCAAAGTGGGCGGGTGTCGAAGACAATCACCCGAGGTATTGAGTCAACATATTTTAAGATTCTTTTATGGAACGCGTGTTTTCTTGACACAAATTCAGTAATTGCTAAATTGCCAAGTGGTGAGAACGTGATATTGATCCTGGCTGTGATTGCAAAGCTGTCACAGGTGGTCTTCTGCAGAAGGACTGTGTCCTGTGCTCTGAACTCCACCTTTCGGGGGGGCTTCCAGAGCTCCCAGTGTGAAGCTGGGTGAGGCTTCTCTGCTAATGGAAGCCCCTGGAGGAGTGTGGGGAGGGGCACCCCTCAGGCCTCCTCTCCTCACACTCATCCTCTGAGGGGCTCCGCTCCTATCTTCAGTGTCACGGGAGCGGGAGTGAGGTAGCAGATTTGCTAAGAAAAGTGGTAATTATCAGCCATGTGGTGTCTAGCTTAGGTCCCATATGCCTCAAGGGTTCACATGGGTTCCTGCAGAAAGAGGGAGGAACAGGCATGGTTGAGTGCTTTCTGTGCCCTAGGGCCTGCGGTAACATTTTCATGAGCGTTAGCTCGATCCACCTGCCACCCCAATCCTATTGTAAGCTCTTCTTGCTGGCTGAAGAAACTGAGGCTCAGAGAGTGACTTGCTGAAGAGCACCGAGCTGGAATTAGAGCCCGAGCCGGTCCGCAGGCCGGCCCTGACCACGAGCGACCCCGATCCGGTCCGCAGGCCGGCCCTGACCACGAGCGACCCCGAGCCGGTCCGCAGGCCGGCCCTGACCACGAGCGACCCTGAGCGGAGGCCCTTCCCCACCATGGCCCTGCTTGGCTCCCAAGCCACCCATCATTTCCATGGTTTTGATGCTAATGCTTATCCTTTATTATTTTTTGTATTTGAAAAGTTATTTGTTTTTAGTTGTGCAAATTTATGGAGTACATGAGAAATGTTGTTACGTGTGTCTAATGTGTAGTGGTCAAGTCAGGGTATTTAGTGTGATCAAAAGCTCAGGTAACAAAAACAAAAACAGGCATAGGAGGCTACGTCAAACCAAGGGGCTTCTGCACAAGGGAGCAATAGGGTGAAGAGAGAGCTGGTTGAATGGGAGAAAATTATTTGCAAACTATTTATCTGACTGGGGACTAATGTCCTGAATGTACAAGGAAATCAAACAACAGGAAAAAAAATCCCACTAAAAAGTGGACAAAAAGCCTGAACAGACATTTCTCAAAAGAAGACACACATGTGGCCAACAGGTCTATGAAAAAATTCTCATCATTACTAAGTATCAGAGAAATGCAAATCAAAACCACAATGAGATACCATCTTACCCCAGTCAGAATGGCCATTACTAAAAAGACAAAAAATTACAGATGTTAGCGAGGATTTGGAGAAAAGGGAACTCTTAGACGCTGCTGGTGGGAATGTAAGTACAACCTCGATGGAAAGCAGCGTGGAGAGCTCCCCAACACTAAAGCCAGAGCTTCCATTAGATCCAGCAATCCCACTCTTGTAGATCCACCCAGAGGAAAAGGAATCAACATATCAAAGGGATTTCTGCACAGGCGTGTCCACTGCAGCCCTGTTCACAATAGCAAAGACGTAGAATCCACCAGCACTCATTCTCAGGGACGCTGTGCCTGCCTGCTGGCTTGCTGGGGCCCTGGCTCAGAGAGAGCCACGTGAGGAGCTCAGAGAAAGGAAATTATGGGCCCAGGGAGGTGGGGGGCTCAGTATGGCAGGCTGCAGAGACCTGTGGTTCAGTCCCAGCCTTTCCCGTCCTCTGCGCTGGGCAGCATCCATCCTTCCCCTGCCCTGGGAGGCGCCCCAGCCTGACTCTTCTCTTCCTGCTTTTACACCTCCTGTGTGCTGTTCGTCGGCTGACTCTCCTTGGAGAAGGGGTCTGAGACCACCCTGTCCCTGGCCCCCAGCAACTGGCACGGTTCCCAGTGCGTAAGAGCTGCCACACTCATCTGCTGGGCGAGAGCAGAGGACGCAGCGATCAGAGAGCGAACAGGCAAATGGAACGGAAGCTTCAAGGGTACTCACTGCATGTGCCTTTGGAGGCTGCGATCTCAGTCTTTCTGAACTCATTGAGAGAACAGTTGAGGGAATTAGCGTTAAGGAATAACTGCATTTCAAAACTGCATCAACTTTTGAGATACCACAAGATTCTACCTCCATAGCCAGGCCCACGCCTGCCAGGGCCTGGGGCGCCGAGGAGATCCTGGCCCCTTTGCCTCCATCCACCACCCGGGAGGCAGTGCCTAGAGCTCCATCTCAGATGGAGGCGCTTCAGGCCTCCGCGTCTGCTGATCTGCCCTGGGTGTGATTCCACCAGCCCACAGTGCTCATCTCTGCCTTCGTATTCTGTCGACGGTCTGGCCCTCACCACCAGGCTTTCCACGGGGCAGGCCCTCACCACCAGGCTTTCCACAGGGCAAGCCCTCATCTCTGAAGTTTTTGCAGGAAGATCCCAGTTTTCAGAGTCAGAGGTCAAATCACAGGCAGGAGTTAGGCAGAATCAGGTCCTTTTTTTCTTTTTGACAGAGTTTCGCTCTTGTTGCCTAGGCTGGAGGGCAGTGGTGCGATCTTGGCTCATCACAACCTCCACCTCCCAGGTTCGAGTGATTCTCCTGCTTCAGCCTCCCGAGTAGCTGGGACTACAGGCATGCACCACCATGCCCGGCTAATTTTGTATTTTTAGTAGAGATGGGGTTTCTCCATGTTGGTCAGGATGGTCTCGAACTCCCGACCTCAGGTGATCCATCTGCCTCAGCCTCCCAAAGTGCTGGGATTACAGGTGTGAGCCACCATGCCCGGCCAAGTCTGTCTTTTAATTACGAGCGCCACACAAGCTTGTAACACATTTAAACAATAAAAAGGTAAAGGACACGGAGAGTGGTGGTTCCTGTCCTGGTCCCTGCCACTCACACGTACAAACGCCCTCCCGGGACAGTGCTGTCACCCTCTGCCAATGCTCTCGGTTGGCTCCACTGCCCATTTTCTAAAAGCCCCTCCACTGCCCTCTCCCTCAGCGTCCTTTGAGCTCGTGCTCCTGGCTCACGGCTGCACGGGGTGACATGCGTGGCCCTCACCACTCTCTCATGCGTTAGGCACCATCTATCTACTCACAATTCTTCGCTGAGTCCTTGTGGAGTCAGTGTGGAGGTGCCTCAGCCTGCACGAGCGCAGAGCTGCCTGGAGGACTCATGGTTGTGACTGAGACCATCAGAATGGGCGGGAGGCAGATGGCGACCTTCGCCATACCATGAACATGGCCTTGCTGAGCTGGTGAGCTCTCTGCCCTGTGAGCCCCCATCTGGTGCAGGGATGTGGAGCTGAGAGGCTCTTGGTGATGCATCAGGAGCTGGTGCTGGGTCCATGAGTGCCCTCTCCACACCTGGGCCGGCAGGGCCCGCACCAGCAGCTGGCATCCATTCTGACGAGAGAGTTGCTAAGCACGCTGGATACCAGCCACACAGCCACAGAGGCTCTGCAGAGATGACACACAGCCGTGAAGGGCTCCAGAGAGCTTTTATGGAGCTGGCCTTGGGGAAGGAGCAGAGAGGAAGGGTGCGACCCGTGGGGTGCTGGCTCATGGCCCGCCAGGCTGGTGCTGCTTGCTGCAGTGGTGTCCTTCAAGGTCAAACCCCCACCCCATGGTAAGAGCTCCCCGGGGGAAAGGCCACAGGGACATGGATATGGGGAAGCACATGTGGTGTCAGTGGTCAGAGGGCTCTGGCCACAGGGTTCATGTTGGCAAGTTGTGACAGCCTGGGTCAGAGCCGCACTGAGGGCTTTGAACTCCCACTGGAGCTTCTGGTGTCGGACGGTTGTGGTGAGGTGTGGTTAGGAAGATTGGGAGGCCAGGAATTGGAAGAGCAGCTTGAAGGGAAGAAATGTGGCCACAGCCCCTTGCTGTGTGTCCTGAGGGAGGCACTGCCTGGTGCCCATGTGTCAGGAAACACTCAGTCAGGAGAATCCGATCAGGAGAACTCGCGTGATCCGGGAGGGGGTCGTTCACTCGGTCAGGAGAATCTGATCAGGAGAACTCGCGTGATTCGGGAGGGGGACGTTCACTCGGTCAGGAGAATCCGATCAGGAGAACTCGCGTGATCCGGGAGGGGGACGTTCACTCGGTCAGGAGAATCCGATCAGGAGAACTCGCGTGATCCGGGAGGGGGACGTTCACTCGGTCAGGAGAATCCGATCAGGAGAACTCGCGTGATTTGGGGGGAGGATGTTCCTTTCACCAGAGTTTGCATCAGGTGGGTTCTCAGAATCAGAGACCCCAACAGTAAACCCACATCCCTAGTTCCAGGGCCCTTAAACTCACTTCACGTTGAAGCCATTCTATAGTAGATAACTCCCATAGTGGATAACTTCTGTAATAGATAACTTTCATGTCTCTCCCCAGTGAATGTAGCCTACACGACCCACTGGTTCTATCCTACTGATGTGGATTGTGTTGTGGGAAGAATGTTGACTGGCAGCAGGTAACTCTAATAGGCGAGTCCTCTCCAGGCTGGAGCAGAGTGAGACACCCTTGGTCACACACCCAAATTTAAGTCATGCCGTGCACTCCGAGCTGGAGGAGACACAGCCCTCAGCTCCAGTCGGCAGGACTAAGCCATGCTCTGTTGGGCTGAGGCATCCGTCACGTCATTAAGTAAGCTACTGGGAAATCCAGTAAGGATGTTTCTCTGCCTTTTAAATTTTTAAATATGAACAAGGGACATAAAGCCTGCGTTTGTTTCTGAATTGTAGTGTGTTTTCTCCAGGAATTAATTCAAGGAGTAAAAATCTTCCACCGAGACATACGTCAAAATACCAGTAAGGAAGGAATGCTCATATTCTACTTCAGGAACTTTGAAAATGCGTCCCAAACGATAGCTTAACAGGCTTCAGAGTGCAGCGGCTCAGCCTGGACTCCGCAGATCACCCTTGGGTCTGGCTGAGGATGTGTGGGGTAGCTGACGCAACGCCGTTATTCCGGCAATTACAAATCCATCTGCTCCTGGGGCAGCTGTGTGCTGGCTTGGCTGAATTGTTTGCATGAAACCAAACAGAAAAAGTGTTACAGTTGAGTCCAACTTGCAGGCGTGACAGTGACTTCGCTAGCACCCTCCCGGAAGGCATTTCCACACTTCTGTTCAGGGCCTGTCAGAGAGGGCGCAGAATAGCGGGCAGGCCATTTCCACCGGGAGCTTTGCCTTTGCAGTTCAGCACCGCGCCCGCGTAGGACGGAGGGTGGGACAGAGGCTGTCTTCACTCCAGGCTCTGACTTCCATTAAAAAAAAAACAAAAAACAAAAAACACTCACAGGTTTCCTTTCTTAGAAGCAAAGTCCTGATACACAAGTGTCTATCCTGGTCTGTGTTCCTCGAGGCCTCAGCAGCTGGCCCCAATTCTCCTTCTCAGAAGGGACTTCTGGGCCCAGCAGAGGCTTCACCTCAGCCCACAAAACCCACCCTTGTTTTCAGAAGCACCAAGGGTCCCGCAGAGCGCAGTGCAGCAGGTGGGCAGAGCGAGGGGCTCACCCTCCCACCGCCGGGCTGCAGTGGCTTCGCAGCAGAGCGCCAAGCAGCAGGAACCTCTGGAGCTGAATGAACGGTACAGCACAGGCGCTGCCTGGGACCCTGAATGCCGTCCAGAGGGGCTGCTGTCTCAGGATCCCACAGCTGCAGGTCTGGGCCCGGCTCAAAGGGCTTTCCATCAGGAACAGCCCAAGTGGGCTGCAGCCTCTCTGTGGCAGGGAGGGCGTGAGGCCGTCGGGGTCAAGGAGGATGTGGTGTGAGGTGTCTGACTCAGCCCTGAGCTGCCCCCAGGAAGGCACACGGCAGCCAGGCCTGAGGGGACAGAGTCGAGGGCGGACTGTGGGCAAACCTGGCACGGATGGCAACAATGGTAGGCGTCGTGAGGCAGGGCCATGCCAGGAGAAAAACCAGGGAGCCAGGGAGACCTCGTCTGAAGAAGCTGCCAGGGAAGGTAGACTTGAAACTTTGCATTTTCCCTTTGGCTTTGATGACAGGAAACAACTTTACCTGTTGAGCTGGTGCCTTTTCTGTAAGCAAGTTCTCAAAGCCCTTCCAAGTGTTTTCCGCCACCTGGACTGAGGCTTCTGCCCCAGCTTTGACAGCCAGGCATCATTAGCAGGGATATTAATGTTTTGTCAGGGCTGTTCTATGAGATTCCGGGTGCCGGGTGTCCTCCAGACCAGACCCACCTGTGGGACTCAGCGCTGTAGCCCCTACTCCTAAGAAGCAAGTCTGAAGAGGGCCGTTCTGCCAGGCAGTGGCAGAAGCCTTGGCAGGTGCCTCTGCACCTGCCCAGTGGAGAGGCTGAGCTATGTCAAGAGGGTGGCAGGGCTGCTCCTCCACTGTGCGTCCTCGCTGACCGAGGGTGTGTTTCACAGCGGTGATGGGTGCTGACTGAGGATGTTTCACAGCGGTGACGGGTGCCAACTGACTGAGGGTGTTTCACAGGGGTGATGGGTGAGACTGACTGAGGGTGTGTTTCACAGCGGTGATGGGTGAGACTGACTGAGGGTGTGTTTCGCAGCGGTGACAGGTGCCGACTGACTGAGAAGTCCTACAAGCCTTCTGCTCTGAGCCCAGGCCTAGCTGCCAGGTGTCAAATCAGCTCATACTCGGGGCGTTTCTGAGCTGCTCCTTGGCCAGGCAGAGCTGCGGGCCCGTCAGCATTCACAGGGCACCCCAGAGGCGCCAGGCACAGCCTTATGACCCAGCATTTTGTTCAACATGGCTCTCTTCTTGCTTCTCACTCTATCTGGCTCTGGAAGGGAATTCTACATGAAGAAGAAAGCATAGGTGGTTGTGCAAGTCAGGTGATGACTTCTGTTGTCCGTTCTCCATCCCAGCCCTGCAGCTCATCAGCGTGCTCTTCTCTCTAGGCTGACAGCCTCTCGGATCCAAGGTACGTACAAATGCAAGGCCCGATTCAGGACCAAAAAGCACTCTGATGGCTTGGAAGAGTGGCTCGTTTCTGAGGTGGAGGCACAGAAGTCTGGAGGGACTCTGTGTGTGGAAACTCCTGTCAGGGCAGCTGCCCGTGTTCCCCAAGCACACGTTGTACACAGAGAAAGCCGTGTGGGCTCTGAGGCCCTCCAGACAACAGAACAGGTTGCCTGCCCAGTTTTGTCATTTGGTGGCTCCTGCCAGGCCACAGGGCCCAGGGGGAGCCCAAGAGCCCTCTTCCCACAGTGTAGGGCCTGGCAGCTACCCCTTCCCAGGGACTGCGCTATCTTGGTGGTTTTCTCCTGGCCCCGCTGGACTGTGCTGAGGTGACAGTGAGGCAGGGAGGCACACCTGGGACGGGGGCCTTCTAGCAAAGAGACAACTGGTGTCCCATACTTCTAGCAGGTCCGCATCCTGGCAGAATGTCCTGAAGACAGGAATGGAAATTCCCTCAGAACATCTCCGTTGTCTGGGCTCTCCCATCTCCACGGTAACACTCCAGGATGGTCTGTAATCAGGAGGGGGCTGGGTTGCCATGATTCAGGTCTGAAGCCACTCCCAGAGCGGGAAAAGCCTCTGAGGATTCTGGAGGTCACACCTGCCCAAGCCCGTTCCTCCACTCTGACAATGGGGTCCCTGGGAGGTGGCCCTGGGAGCCAGATTCTTAAGGGAAGAGCCAGGGTGAGAAGCTCTGAACTCTTGAGGGAGAATCTGTGCCTGCTCTGCTTGGCAGGGCTGAGTACACCCCCAGGGCCTAATGAGAAACGCCCTTGACGGATGAATGATGAAGGAGGAATCACAAACCAGCTAATGGCCATGTGCTGTGTGAGCCTTTTCCAAATTCTAGACTTGCTCTACCATTGACGGCCACTTCCAAGCTTATAGGGCCCTGCCTTTGCGAGTAACCACACATGCGTTGTTTCACGTCTGCATGATTGTATCCATAGAATAAATTCATAGGAATAGAATTGTTAATAGAATTGCTCGACCAGGTTTCACATGCATTTGCCATGCGATGGATGTGGCCAGTTTTCTGTTCTTCGAAGAGATGGGCTTTATGTAGCCTTCACAACACACAAGAACTGACTGCCCACACCCTGGCCCTGAGCAGGGCTTTGTGAGCAGGTTGAGCATTTTCTTCATGCGGTTAAGAGTGCCTTATATTTTGTTTTCTGTGAACTCAGTTGAAATCCTTTGCTTCTTTTTACTTATTGACTTACTGGTCTCTTTCTTATTGATTTAAATATTTGGAAATGACTGTTTCTGGTATTAATTGCAAATTTCTTTTTCAGCTTGTTATTATCTTTCAATTGACTCGTGGTGGTGTTTCATTCTAGGCAGAAGGTTTTATTTTTGTGTCATCATATTTCTTAGCATTATTATGGCTTCTGGATTTTGTCTTGTGTTTAGATCTTCCCTACTCCAATGTCATAAAAAATTCTCCCATGGTCTCCTCTTTGCTTCTTTTCTTCCTTTTTTTTTTTTCTTTCTGGGAGTTACACCTTTGCTCTATTTGGAATTAATTTTGGTGAAGTATAGAACCAACTTCATAGTTTTTCCAGGAGACTACCTAGTCAACATCATTATATGAATATCCTGTTTCCCCTCATGATTTGAATGTCTTTGTCTTATAATTTGCAGTATTTTGAGGTCTATTTCTATGCTTTCTAATTATTTATTTGCCAGTAACATATTTTTAAATGGACATAGCTTTAAATGGAATTTTATAATATGTTTTGAGATCTGATAGTAATAGTTTCTCTATTATTTGTTTTTTCTTTTAGGTTTGTCTTATGTATTCTTAAATATTTCCTTACACAAATTTAGATTTAGCCTGTCTGGTTTTTAAAAAGTTAGCCTTTTAACTGGGATTGTATCATATGTGCAGAGACTAACTTTGCAAAAATTGAAAGTCTGTATACCTGCTTGGCTTCTGCCCCGTCTGTGCACATCCCTCCGAGGCAGGGCCGTTTTCACATTTCTTGCTAACCTTGTTGAATTATATTTTTGCATATTTGTTTGCAATTGCTCCTTCAGGGTTATCCAGATGCACAATAAAATAATCTATAAGTAATCATCACTTTCTCTGCTCCTTTCTCATTTTTGCACTCCCAGTTTCTGTGCCTTAATTGCATGAGATGTGCCTGCAAAGCAGTGAGAGAATGCAGCCTGGAAACTCTGAGTGTCTTGGCCTCCTCATGGCTGTAGGGAATGGTCAGGATGAGGCAGAGGTCATTTATCCTGTAAAAGAACTATTCATTCCTTCCCATTTTATCATGAACATTTCAGTCTCTACTTCAAAACACAGAGGAGGATGTTGACTTCCATCCACTGTTTGCCAGCATTTCTAGGGCTGGTCATACTGTTTTTCTCTTTTGCTCTATTAAATGGTGATTTATATTAATAGACCCAATACTGAGTCATTGCTACTTGCACTGGGCAGAACAACCCACCCTTAGTCGTGGTGTGTAATTCTCAACATGCCGCTGCGTTTCATTTGCTCATATTTTATTGGGCCTCTTTATATTGTTATTGACACATTAGGTTGGTTGGTAGTTGTTTTTTTTTTTTTTTTTTTTTTAAGCTGGTCTCTTTGGTGGCAATGTCATGCTGGCCTGACAAAAAAATGTGGAAGCTTTCCTTCTATTTTTGTTTGGAGAAGCTTAAATACTGTTGGACTAGATGGGAAATGGTACAGCTGAAAACTGACATTTTCCATTCTTTAGCCAAGTAACCTTGAAACAGGTCTTTTAATGTATCTCTGCCAGAAATTAAAATATATATCAGACATTATGAAGAAATTTCAATTTTATTTCAGGTGAGATAATAAAGTGTAAGAGCTGGAGTTTGGTAAAAGCCCAGGGCAGACGTCCCTAAATCCGTTTCGTGCCCAACATACATTTGTCAGTTAATTCAAAAGCTGTCTGAAGGCCAGATTTTAATCATATTTAGGAAACACTCTTGATGCTTCAAAGCTGCAATGACGAATGATACAGAAAACTACAATTCAGTGAGGGACAAAGTCCCTGTTTTTAAGGAGAGTAGCGTCCTATAGAACAAGGGGTCTCATGGGCCTGACCGTGCCCTGGACAGACCTGTGGTGACCCCGCAGCGCGCCTTGCAGGGGCCGGTGGGAGCTGGACTTTTGAAAGGGTAGAATCAAGGCCACGAGGGGTCGCCAGCCTGGGAGGACCCAGGAAGGGGAAGGACAGTGCCACCCGTGCTCACTGTGACGGAGGGATTCTGCTGAGCTCGGGAAGGCTGCACTCCTAAAATGGCCAGTGAGACCCAGGCTCCTGACGGAGGACGGGTCACTTTTACAAGGAAACTTTTAAAACAGATTTTGCAAAATTCTGGGGGCCATGAGCAGAGAGAGTGATGACACCTGGGTCCAGGCCGTCTCCATTCCAGGCAGAGCCGTGATGGGCGGACTCTAACCAAGTGATGGCTTCTGTTTGTCCCAGATGGAATCTTTCAGAGACACTGACTTCCCAGGGAGTTTGTGGGGTGTGGGCATTCTGTGTCACCCCACTTCTGCTCAGCATCCGGTGACAAGAAGGCCCCAGAGAGCCTGGAGCAGAGCCTGGCCTCCGTGTCTGACCCCAGCTGTGCGGCAGGGCCAGTGACTCAATCATCTCAGCCAACAGCAGACAGCCTGGGGCCTCTCTTCCTGGGAGAGAGGACGCTGGCGTGCTGTGCCCCTTGTGATAAAATGTCGTGGTCCCTGTGGACACAGAGCTCCCTCACCTGTGCTGTCTGAGACCCCACGTGGCCTCCACATGCCATGAATGTGCAATCCACATGCCCTGAGACTCAGCATTCTGGCACTCACACCAGTCCTGTGCAGAGCAGGGCCACGCTGCTATTCTTAGTCCCAGGATTCCAAGCTCAGACAGGAGTGAGGAGGGCTCCCCACAGACATGTGCTACCAGACTGTGAGACGGTGGAATAAATAGAATCTAGACTTTGTGACGCTCAATCCCAGGTCTCGCTAAAGAAAAGAACGAAGGCTCAGTTTGGCACTAGTGTTGTGCCTCAGCCTGTCCATCTCACACTAGGGTTCATCTGCAGGCCTTTGGCCTCAGCACTTGGCCGATGTCCTTAGCGGAGAGGAGGTGGTTTGCCTCCTTTTGGGACTGCCATGAACGGGCTGCTGCAGCTTCCATTATCAGCTCCTCAACTCAAGCTAAAAACTCAGGAACTCCCTCTGGGGTCTGGGATCAGCAGCAACCACCCCTCCGCAATTGCAGTGCACCCTAGGTCCCTTCCGGAGCAACTGAGCAGAACGTCTTCCTGGGACTGTGGTCCATGGACGGCCCTGCTAACAGCTAATTGCAGCCCATGTGTCCTCATCACACCAGGTCTCCAAAACGGGGGCACAGATGTCCACTGCCGTGAGGTGGCTTCTGGGCAGCTGCTGCCCTGGACTGGGAGGCTGAGAATCCTCAGCCCTTAGACTCCAGCCTGCAATTTGGGAAAAAGGTAGTGGCACCAGGTGAACAAGAACGTGGCACCAGGTGAACAAGAACAAGCCCCCACCCAGCTCTCAGACTGGTCAGCCATATTCCCAGCTCTACCTGCTCTGAACTTTGGGGAGAAGGGCTGGACTGGAGGTGGGTGAGTGCTGAGGGAAAGGAGGTGGGAGAGAGGTGAGAAAGGAAAATGGAGAAGGGGAGCCTGGCCTCCCAGCTGCAGAACCCCCAGGCCCAGCCTGCTCCCCACAGCCTGCTCCCCCAGCCCCAGACCATCCCTCAGCCTTCTGTCCCCCCAGGTCCTTAGACCACCTCCCAGCCTGCTGACCCCCCAGCCCCCAGATCATTCCCAGCCTGCTCCCCCAGCCCCAGACCACCCCCTAGCCTGCTGACCCCTAGGCCCTCAGACCACCCCCAGCCTGCTCCTCCAGCCCCAGACCACCCCCCAGCCTGCTGACCCCCAGTACCCAGCCCATCCCCCAGCCTTCTGACCTCCCAGCCTCAGCCCACCACCCCAGCCTGCTTCCCCAGCCTCCAGCCCACCCCCCAGCCTGCTGATCCCCAGCCCCCAGGCCTCAGCATCCCCCACCCAGCCCCATTCCAGAGCACAGATAAAAGTGAAACCTGAGCAGCAAATGTTTGTGGAGCCGCCGCCAATCAAGGGCTTCGTTGCCAGGGTAACCGGGACACTTCATCAGCTCTGTGAACAGATGGTCAGTGAGTAACAGGCAGCATATGTTCCCGTAAGCCCTGACACGGGCACAGATGGAGGGTGGGCGGGAGCTTCTCCTCCCTTCCCATGGGTGCGGCATTGCCGAGAGGCACAGAGGCCGGGGAGCCCGCGTGGTGCTGGTGAGTGCGGATTACTAACACGCCAGTGCCACTCCCAGCCTCGCTTAACCAGAGCACTGCACAGTTAACAACAGCCAGGCACACAGAGCTGCGTGCTGAGGCTGAATCGCAGCCAGGAATCCTCATTAGCAGCCTGCCCACCTTCCAGTGTCACTATCTCAGGCCTCCGGTTTCTGTGGATGTTTACAGGAGAAATCAAACTGCCCTTTACAGGATCAAAGGAGAATTAGATGCCTTTCGGCCATGGAGGTGGGATCCCAGAAGGTTCGGCCTCAAAGCCGATCAAAGTCAATATACACAGGTTCGCGTGCACTGGCCACTGGCTACCGTGACATGTGGTTCGTCTCTCAGACCTTGTATTCCCTGCATTTGGTTTGGCCCCTCAGAATGAGGTCCCCAATCTCTCCACCATCACCAGCATGAGGATAGCTCAGGGAGAAAGGATATTGGTGATTACATCGTTGATTGCCAGCATGATTGCAGCAACTGCCTTTCACTGAACATCTACTATGCCCAGACCCTGGATACACCTCTAGGATCCCATCTCTGCCAGCCAGCAAGGGTGGAGGAGGTGTCTAGCCTGGCTCTGAGTTCCAGGCCCAGCTGGGCTCCAGGAAGGCCGTCTTGTGGTCACAAGCCACAGGGCAGGCCTGGCTGTGTCTGCACTGGGGCTATGTTGTGGCCAGGAGAAGCCAGGCACCCTTTCTCTTGGGGACAGTCTTGTCAGCTTCAGAGAAGCCCTGGGCTCCTTTCTTCAGTGTCTGCTGGTCCTGGGTGCAGCTCTGTCCAGAGTGGGCACAACTTCCCAGCTCCCATTATATCTCTGGTCTGTATTCTCAGGCTTGTCTGTGCTCTACACGAGTCTGCCTGGTTCACCAGGCCTCACAAATTCACTGCTCACTGGTACCCAATACCAGCACAGAGCTAACCCTCTGGGGTCCTGTAACAATCTTCAATTGGATCCTATCCCATCCCAGGAATGTCCACAGCAGATTTCTGCTTGGGCTGGATGCGTTCCAGTCCTGAGCAGGACCCTGCCCTGTGGAGAGGCCTTCAATATTCCGCCTCTAGGTCAAATGCGGTGGAAATCCACCTGCAAGCTCAGAAGTTATTGGGAAGAGGCCAGCAGGGGCAGCCGCTCGACAGTTCTCCTTTCCATAACAAATCAGGTTAAAATCTGAAGGAGTAGGCTTGACTGACCAGAGGGATAAATCCAGTTTGTATAGAAACAAACACCCTGGTGTGCTTTGCAGAGAGCCTGGGGGCAGAGACAACGTTTGCATGAATGGGACCTGCTAGGTCCGCTGGTGCCAGTGAACAAACTACCATGAAGTGCCCAGACAGACAAGCTGCCAGGAAAGCCAGGAATTTCCTTCCACCTCCTTTCTGCTTGACTTGGTTTACCAACGCTGTACATCCAAGAGAAAAAAAAATTAATGTGCATTTTCTCTTCAGGCACTTGTGTGAAAAACATCCGTCTTCCTGTCGTCATCACTGAGTGAGCCCACGGTCACCAATCCCTGGGTCACAGCTCCCCAAAACCAAGAGAAACAGCCAGCGGGACAAGGCCAGGGCAGCCCTAAACATGCCACATCACCCCAGTGCTATGCGAAGGAAGCTTCAGGGGCATCTTCAAGGAAATGTGTGAATCTGAATAAATTTTACAGATTAAAACTTTTACAAAATTTATAAAATTTTAATCATTCCAATTAAGCATTTAGAACACTACTTGGTTAGTGGGAAATTTATAGCTCTAAATGCCCATCCTCAAAAGAAGAAATGCTTAAAATCAACGACCTGAAGTTCCACCTTAAAATGCTAGAAAAAGAAGAGCAAAAGTAACACAAAGTAAGTGTTAACAAAAAATAAAGAACAGAAATCAATGAAATAAAGAGCAGATGACAGAGAAATTTAGCAAAACCAAAAGTTGGTTCTTTGAAGGGACTGGCAAACTTGATAAACTCCAACCTAGACTGATCAAGAAGAGAGAGAGCACATGTTAGCAAGACCAGGAATGGAGGAGGGTCATCATAACAGACCCTACAGGCATCAAGAGAATCAGCAGCAGATGGTCGTTGTCTGGGCCCCAGCTCAGACTAAAGAGAGCTTTTTGGACAGAAACCTGTGTATCAATTGTGATAGTTACACGAGTATTTCCATGGTATTTCCATTTGTTAAAGATGCAAAATTTTGTTGGATGTATGTTATACTTCAATGAACTTGATATCAACAGTAAAAAGGTTTTCCTGCCTTCTTAAACAGAGACAATTTTTCATGTTCCTCTGCTATAAATTCAGACATTCATTACACTTCGTTCTATTTCCACACACTGTGGAGGCCCTTGGGAGGTGAGTGCTGGTTGCTTCTGTCACAGTGAATGCCCATAGCAGGGGGCAGCTGGGCCCATCCTCTCCCTGGGGTCAACCCACACTTTTCCTTGGTGCCAGCCCTCACCCTCCAAGCCTCTGGTATGTGGCTCCCACCAGCTCCAGCCTGGGAAGCCATGATATTGACAGGGTTGGCTCTGGGGCTGCACAGGCCTCTGAAGGAGATGGGTGTCCCTGTGCTGTCGGGATCAGGTGCTCTGAGTGGGCCTTGGAGTCACTTGTGCTTTCCTCAGGAAGTAGCCACACTTAGGAGGAAATGGAGGTTGTCAGATGAATGACTGAGGTGCCCTTTGGGGTCCACTAGGCTCTGGGATCTCTCATGACCAGACACATATTTTTGCCTTTGTTTAGGCAAATAGAGCCATACACATAATTATTTCAGTTGGGCCAAATCTGTAAAAGGAAAAAAGAAAGATTTAAAAACTCTCTCAGAATGATGCATTTTGGGAACTGGAATTTTACAAAACCCAATCAAATATTTGTTGGATACCCACTGTGTGGAAGTCACTGTCTCAAGCCTTGTGGGGGACACGAAAATGAGCAAGGCAATCCCCTGCCCTCAGGGTCTCACAACAGCCCAGCCAAGGCTGTGAATCTCCCGTGCTGACAGCCGGGCCTGAGCCTGGCGTGGGGGAGACCTGGGGATGTTCCTGGGGAAAGGCGGCATCACCTGTCAATCTCCCGTGCTGACAGCCGGGCCTGAGCCTCGCGTGGGGGAGACCTGGGGATGTTCCTGGGGAAAGGCGGCATCACCTGTCAATCTCCCGTGCTGACAGCCGGGCCTGAGCCTCGCGTGGGGGAGACCTGGGGATGTTCCTGGGGAAAGGCCGCTTCACGCTGAGGCCTTTAGTGGGCAGGGAAAAAAATCTAAAGATATCTACCCAGCTTTCAACTCAACGTCCAAAAGTACTAAGGCTCGTTTCAAGTTAGTTTTTTCTTCCTAATCAGGCTTGTGTTGTTCGCAGTTTCTCCGCCCCTGGGAAGTTCACCTCAGTAGATGCTCAGCTGTGCTGATGCCAGGCAGCCCTCGTCCACCCAGAGGCGGCTGGGGGCGTCGACTTTTGCCCACCGTGAAACCTGCGCTCTGCCCACAGGGCTGGCTGTCCTGCGTGCCCGCTGCGGTGGGTTCCAAGCTGCAGGAATGACGACCGGAGTCTGGTTCTCGGGACCTGCCCCTGTCTTCACCGCAAAGATCCGCTTCAGGTGGAGGGAATGCAGGGCTGCTGTGAGCCCGTGGGTTTCTCCAGAGGACTCTGAAGTCCTCCTGGTTCCCCAGGGTAAGCACTTCTTTCAGACACGCGCACAGCCAAATAGGGTGGTCAAGGTCATGGTGCTGCGAGTCACTGCGGCCTGCCCCACCCCCTGCAAAGTGCTGTCTGAAGCAAACCCCAGCCTTCCCTCATTGACGTGGCCCCAGGTACTGTCCCCCAAGCTGTGCTGCCTTCCTGGAGGCTCAACCTGGAGCTTCTAGAGGCTCTGGGAACCTGATGAGGTTGCTATGTGGGAATGCAGATGCTAAATTTAGCCCTTCCCGTCTCAATCCCGAATTCCAAAGCAAAGATCGACAAGTATTGCCAGTAGATCATGACTCCAGAGCATGTGGTCCAGGCATCCGTGAATCCTCAGCCACAGGATGGAGGGCAGCAGTGACCAACGGTTGCATGGACAAAGTCGGGACATGGAGGGTGTTGGGGGAGGGGAAGCTGCGGGAAGACCTGCTGCACCCACAGACCTCACAGACGGCTGGGGTGCCAGCTCTGCACGGCACCGATCGACATGGACTTCCAGTCCAGCCACCCTTGTCTGTGTTTCCCCAGACCTGAGCCTGCAAGGACAGAGCACACTCATCTCCTCCCTGCTGTAACCTGAGCTCCCCATCAGCTGAGGTCCAGGCCGGGACCAGCATGTCAGGCTGAGTGGCTAAGAAACGGGAGCCCAATTCCACACTCAGGGTCTGCGACCGGAACTAAGACAAGGGGAGTGTTTGCAGAGAGGTGCCTTATTTACCTGCAGAGGGGCCACTTGTCTGGTCTCTGCAGCCACCTGTGATTTCTGGACCCTATTGGACAGTATTTTTGCTATGGCTGCTGTAATACATTACTACATACCTCGTGGCTTAAAGCAACACAAGTTTATTACCATACAGTTCAGGAGGTCAGGAGTCCAAAATGGGTCTCACTGGGCTAAAATCAAGGTGTCGGCAGGGCTGGTTCCTTCTGGAGTGTCCAGAGGAGAACTGTTCCTGTCTTTTCCAGCTTCTAGAGGCAGCCGGCCTTCCTTGGCTCATGGCTGCATCACTCCAACCTCTGTTTCTGTCTGGCCCTCCTGCCTCCCTGTTATGAGAACCCTTGAGATGCATCAGGGCCCAGCTGGATAACTCAGGACCATCCGATCCTCAATTTAATCACACTTGCAGGGTCCCTTTGCAGTCCCCAGTCTGGTGGGGACAGCACCAGGGCCCACCACTTGCCCCATGTGCCCCACCGGCTGCCCCATGAGCTTGCCATGCTCCATGCTCTGAGCTGTGTGTAGCGTTGAGGCAGGCAGAGCTTGGCGACCAGTGGCAAAGACAATGGGGATGACACCATGGACAGCAAGTAGCAAGGTACTGGGACCACACCCCGGTGCCTCTTCTCTTCCCTTTGCCGGCTCCTTGTCAGAGCCTTCCTGCTGCTCAGTGAGTGGGACAGGGAGGGAAGAGGCTTTCACCTGTCAACAGCAATCAGCCTCACGGGGCCTTGGAGGGCTAATTCCTCTGCAGTTTGCGAGTGTCTGAGAAGACTGAGTGCTGAGTGAGTGGAGAGAAGGCCTGGATATCCCACGCGGCCAGTGCCTCCGCACACCTGGCCCGAGCCACTGTGAATTATTTTATCCTGCTGTTGTCCCCTCGGCACGGATAGTAACTTATTAACTGGCTCCCCATTGTTGCATATATATGCACATAGTTTACTATGGCACATGTATTCCCATTGCAATGCCTACTTCCAAATAAATATCAGTTTCTGTTAGAGAGCCTGTCTCTGTTTGTGGTTTAGGTTTACATAAGTGGTGTCTAGAACAGAACCTGAAGAAAGATTGTGATTGGAAGGAACTGGTGATTCTTAGAGCTGGTGTGTAGTTCTCACTTGAGCCCTCTGAGCTCTCTGCATCTGCCACTTGCTTTTCTACCCTGGTGAGTCTTCTCTCAGGCAGAGCCTCACTGCTTTTTGGTAGTCTTTTTGATTTCATAGGAGTTTGTTTTGGTGATAAGGCCACCTTTAATAACGGACCTTACATCCCTGCTGGGGTGATAAAAGACCTTTTGTCTTTTCCAGCAAGTCCTTTCTGGTATAAAGTGCAGAATCTCCATTCCGTCTCTGAGGCATGTCTTTTCTAGTGAATTTGCTTTTGATTCTTTCTGTGCACCTAATTTAATATTTTGTTTGATGTGGCTCTTTTCTCTTGCTTATTTCTGGAAATCTTCTAAGAGCAAAAACAAGCATTCTAAATGCTGGACCCAGGATGGCTCATTAAAAGCCACTAGAGTGGTTGCCACTATCTAAAACGCTGGTCCAGACTCCCGACAGTCTCTCTAAAACGCTGGTCCAGACTCCCGACAGTCTCTCTAAAACGCTGGTCCAGACTCCCGACAGTCTCTCTAAAACGCTGGTCCAGACTCCCGACAGTCTCTCTAAAATGCTGGTCCAGACTCCCAACATTCTCTTGAGAGGATTTATAGGATTTTCTTTGCTCTCAAGAGATTAATAAGAAACGGAATGGGATTCTCAAACATGAGGATGTGCCAGGTATTCTGGGACTCCAGCTGGCTGTATTATGGCCCGTTCTCATTACATTTTTAAACTGATGGGCAAATTACACCAAGGAAAATTCAGAGCTGAGTGGTCATTATCTGAACTTTCTAAAACAAATCTACAACTATAGAGTTAGCATTCTAAGTCCTCTATTTTTTTTCTGCTTATGTCCAATCTGCTGACCCTTCTGCTGGTATTGAGATAAAACTCACTGCTTATGATATTCCAGCCAAGGTTCTTTTAAAAAAGTCTTAAAGGGCTTTCAAATTACTGGTTTTACAAATTATAACAGCTCCATGGTAGCCAACAACATAGACACTTTTTGAAAATGTAAATTTAGATTTGCCTAACAGTTGCTTAGGGTGATGGAACAGTTAATTGAAAGACTGATAGTCTAAAAGGAAAGACCTAGATAAATGTTTATAAAAATTAGGATCTGAGATCAAACAGGTCAAAATCTTGAGCTCAGAGCAGTAATATAATTTTTTATATCTCTGGCATAAACATTGCTTTTTCTGTCATGCAGGAGCCAAGGGAAAAAAGCCCCCCAAAACCTGCTAAAATGTTTCCCCACCTGCATTGACCAGTCAGGTGCAAGGGAACCAGACTGCAAACACAAGACAGATTTTTTACTAATGCAAGGCTACTTGGATTTTTTTTTCTTGTATAATTCAGCCAGTTCAAGCTAAAACATAAACATTAAAAATTTAACATTAAACTCATTTGGAACAAACAAACAAAAATGTCTTTTAAAACCAAACTGCTTAACCCAACATTTTGGTCCACAGCTTTCATTAGACTATCAGGGCAAATAGTTTTTGCCATGTGAACAGTTCCCATTTTGTCAGAAATGTAATTTGGAGCCAACTATATTTTATAAACTAGTGAGTTTGTATATTTTACTGTCTCATGACTAAAATTCTAAAATGAAAGCTATAAGAGCTTTGTGTATGTATATACCTTTAGGTGTGTTTATGCACATGTACATGTATTATGTTGTACGTTGTATCTACGTGGTAGTCTGGCATAGTGGGCCAGAAATCCCTAAGAAATTCTATTCAGATTTGCTTAAACAAGTGCTCATATAAAGTACACAGCTATTAACCTAAATGTCTTCTATTTCATGTGACCTAAGTAGATCTTTGATAAATAAGCTGGTTTAAAAATCATTGGTAAAATAAAACTAGTAATATCTTCAAAATTGTGAGTACACATTTTTGCCTGGGTTGACTGGTGCAATAGTTTTATATTTGTCTCTGCTAGCCTGAAACAGAGTGATCTTTGTGCAATTCTTTGATAAATAAGACTAATTTAATATTGTGGTTTAATAAGACAGCTGTATCTTCAAGGTTATTGACAAAATACCCATATATTTAACTTTAAGGTTCTTACTTAGATGAATGCCTGATATTCACAGGCTATAAAAATGGTTAACAGGAAATAACTTGAAATGATGACAAGCTTTGTCTAGTATCTCAGTTTTCATAACTAATCTAGGTAAATTGTTAAAAACAAACTAGGTAAATGTAAATGGAATAAATGCTTATAAATAAGCTTTTCTTGTAATTTGAAATCTTCATATTATGTTAAGTTAAACAACAGATATTCATTAAATGTCTAGGTCATTTCTAAATAAGATTTAAAAACCTGAAACATCAATTGCTAAACATAAATATACATTTGTTCTTGTCTTCTTACATTTTATAGAAAGACTAAATATATTTGGGTTTATTAATATACATAAAATATTATGTTGTATGGAGAAACATATTTTTAAGAATTATAAAATTGTTCTCATCTATAAAATACCAATATGTGACAAATAGTTCAAAATTGCTTGCCAGAAATTAAGGTTACTAAGAGTTAAAATTCTAATTAATATATATATAATTCTGCATATAAAATATACAAAAAAGGAAAATGTTTTTGATTAGAAAAATGATAAAGGCATAAAATGGGTTCTTTATTGAGAGAAAGAATAATTCTGTCTAATTGCCAGGTTATTTAAAGGTTGTTTCCAAATATGGATTTAGGAAGGAAACAGAGGCAAGACAGAAAGTAGGAAACAGAGGCAAGACAGTAAGTAGGAGAGAGAGATACGAGGAATGTTATGGGTTTGAAGATGCATTCTTGGTGAGGAAGGCTATTAAAAAGAAAAGAATAATTTTATGTAAGAAAAAATCTTGAGTAGAAATTTTTGTCTTAAAACAGCTGGTTATTTAAGAAACAGTAAATAGGGGACAAAGCAGAAATTCTAAGTATGTTGTCAAACGTTGGAATAAGTTGTGATGAGGTTTGTGAAGGATGAATTTATAAAAGGAATTAAGTTGGCTATAATTAGAAGGAAATTATTTATAAGTCTTTCTGAAGATTGAGCTTCAATATTAAAAATACACTAATACAAAACTAAAAACTTGGTACTCTATGTTAGAACAAGGTTTTTTTGAAATTTTGATCTGGTCTTAACAGCAGCTTCTCTCTTTTCTGTTTTACAGTCTCCATTGTTTCCCTAGTTTCAGATTAGACCTGCTTTTTTCATTCAGAACAGTAGTTTCATTTCTCAAGGCAGCGTTTTCCTCTTGAAGCCTCTCAGGTTCGTATCTCACAGGCTCTTTTGCTGGATCTCACTGCACGTGACTTGCCGGCCAGGCATCATCAACCTCTGCTCTTCCTTTCCTCCCCGCGAGGAGGCCTGGGATGACAACTCTCTCCAACTTCATCAGCTCCTGTAAAGTTTTTCTCCAGCTCTAATTCTGTTGTGAGGGCCTGAAGCAGAAATGTTTACCTTGGAGGCCTGGAAAAGCAATGCTTTCCCCCGTATAACTTGAGTCTGTACTCTTGGCTTTCCTTGATGAGTCTGAATTGTTCCATGTAACCAGGAAATCTCATATACTGACACTAAGAGCCGTGCACTCTGACTTGCTGAAGGTACTGGTTTTCTTATTTATACTCCTTTACAATATGGGACACATTCATAAGTTTGGACACACATTTTTTTTTTCTGTGTTTAATTAAATTCAAGTACCTTTCATCAGATTCAATTTCCAAGATATCTAAATGGGCTTCCCAGAAGGAAGAGCAATCGCAGTGCAGGAGGGTTTCTCCACCTTCTTGGTAACTGGCCCTTTAAAAAGCCCAGTGGATTTACCTTTTACCAAGACAATTTCCTGTGTTGTCTCTATTACGTTTTTGGTTACTTAGGAAAACAGCTTGAAAAGGGTTAAGGTTTTAACATCCATGTACTTTTCTGTATTGCTTTGAAGTCTTTTGATTACTACTCTGGTTAAATGACTTTATTCTGGTTAAATGAAGTTATTTCACTGTGACCTGTGGTTCTGTTTTGGTCGAGTGTTTTGAACCTTTTTGTATCCTTGGCAGGCTTCCCCAGGATTGAAATTCTAAATTAAGTCTTTTTGGTCTAGAATTAACTTTGAAATTTTCTAGTTGGGCCCCTGGAGAGCCTCACACAATGTTATCTCTCATCTTGTAGAGATATTAAATAATTAGGCTTATTCGATAAATTATATGGAAAGCATCGTGAAATGATAAGTGACACTAGATCATTCAGTTACATTTATGGGAATGTTATGGATGTGAATGTTTCAAAAATTATATAAATTCATAGAACTCTAATATGTCATCAGTCCTAATTCTGGATATTATGTCATGTGCTATAAAAATAACTCTATTTCCTTGTTACTTACTGATTATAATAAACTTCCATCAGAGTTTTAACCATGGCTATTCTAAGTGTCATCTACAGTTATTGTTTTACATTCTCCCCTAAAAGCATCTGCAATCAGACTCATGGAAAAGATTTCAACAAGTGCTCTTACATATAGATTCTTATAACTTTAACATCAATGGAATAAATACAATATTTAAAAAACTCTAATGAAGAAACTGGTGGGCTCATGAAACTGCTCCAGGTCAAGCAGAACAAAGATTAATCACATGAGATTAAATAATTGATAATGTTTTTGTTATTTTTATTTAAAACATTATTAGTTCTTTACTTAAATGTCTTGCTTTCCAGCTGTAATGACATTTTCTCTCTTAAACTATCTGTAATTTACAGCAATTTGGCAAAGCATACTTTTGTAATGGAAGCATTTGTTTTTTTTCTCCCTTCCTGATTTCTCCAAAATTTGAAAATCATTCATGAGTATTTTTATGGCAATAAAGTGATTTGCTAAGTTCAATAAAAATCAGCTCTCTCTTTACAACAGAACATAATTTAAAACACTGCTTATGTCATACTCGTGAATGTGCACAGAGTGCCTGGTTTCAAGGGTTCCTGGATTTACAGTGAGTAGGTAAAAATGGTCACTTCCCGGCAGGCCCAGGAACTTTAAGACTATAAGTAAAATCTAAAGTCTGCTTTGGTTTGGCTTCCTAGCCCCCAGAAGTTTTTAAATCTGAGAATCCTGTGCGACAAATGTAGGGAGAAAATGTTTCTGAAGAAAAGCTGTAATACACCTCTTATTAGATTGTAGCTCTATGCATTGTTTTCCAGCTCTTGTTATCTACCTACAGACTAGACTTGAATTATCCTAATTCCTCCAATCCAACTTTCTTCCAGAGTTACTAAAATTGAATACTGCTCTCTTCCTGAAGCCCTGTAAGCTGAAATTATATAAATTTTAAGGAACAAGTCATATGTCTGATGTTTGAGGAACACCCAGTACCACAACCAGAGACATTCAAACTGCAAACCAGGCTGAGAAGTGGATGGTTCCATGCTGTAGACAGATTTTTCCGACATTAGAACAGAACTCTGTATCATAATAAGACTTTTAACCCTCTTAAAGCTCACCTATTTCACTTGACGGGATCATGGTCAATTGATTTATCCAGTTGGCTGCCTTTAAGGTTCATGGCTCAAAACCATTATGCAGACTAGGATAGTCACATTACTAATAATTTTACTTTGAATCTCCCCTTTTAAAACTTTGTATTTGTTACTTGTTAAATTTTTGTAGAAGTACAACTCCTAACAGAATAATGCTGGCCCAGCACTTTGAGATGATAACAGAAGACTATGGAAAAAGACAAAATTGAATGTAATACTAGACTCCAGGTAGACTTAGCCTGACAGCCACTCCCTTCAAACCTCCCTTGTTGCTCAAATGTGGCTAAAGGGTTTTGACAATGACTCCTACTCACCAATCACTACCCCTAGTGTGGAACCAGACCAGCAGCCCAGGACAGGTCCATCTTGGCATCAGGGGACATCAGACCTCACTACGGCGGGATTGATTTGTGATACTTTTGGAGAAAGACCTTGATCAAAAGCGGAAAATGTGGAAGTTGTCAGATTCAAAATCAAAATGGAGTCACTTGTGTTAAGAAATGCTCTGACAAATAGAGCTGGGAAAGACCATAAAGGGAGGGTGGTCATGCGCCACTGCACAAGAACAATCACAAAAGACTGAAAAAAATCATGACCCTGCACAAACGCCATTGCAACCTTACACAAAAAATTCTTCTACATCTGTCCAGCAAGTGCCTGTCCAGCACTGAACTGCAATCTCCCTTGTTATTCATCTTTGTAGCCAAGGATACTTATCTCAAAACAATCCTGGGTTCCTCCTCACTCTTCCCTTAAAAACCTTTGTCTTCTTTGCTTCCCTGAATGTGCACATAATCTACAATGGCACGTGTATTCTCATTGCAATGTCCTATTTCCCAAATCAATGTCATTTTCTCTTAGAGCCTCCCTCTGTTTATTTCTGTTGACAGCCTATTACCCCAACCCCAGTTGCACTCACTCTGGACATTTGGACAACAATGTGGATGGACATCATGGCTCTCTCCCCACTCCTGAAATTGATGCTGCAGGCAGGGGGCTAGTGTGACAGGAGGCCCTGAGGACCTGTTCAAGTTGCAGCTTCTCTTCCATGGAGGGCATAGGAAACATGTTTTGAGGCATTTACTATGGCTTGTTTTAGATTAACTTGGAAAAGGGAGAAAACACCAAATATTTTCCATCAATGTTCTAAATGTTAATTATTTAATAGTCTCTTTGCTGCTCAGAACTGAGAACACTTTTATCTGATAGTTTTTCGTTTCTTTCCAGTATTTTCAGTAACAATGAAGTCAACACTGTTATGAATTTAGATGTGGAGTGAATGAAGTGTCCTGCCTTCGTTAGATACTCAAGAAATACTGACGGAGCAGATGTCCTTGCACATAATTCACACCTTAAGACCAAATATAATGCAATGAGTTTTTATTTTGTTTCAAAGCATCAATGTGTGCTCTTTTTCTGTGTGTTCCTTAACAAATGTTACAGCTCTAAATTTCTAGGTGACTGTTTGCTAATGAATTTTTTCTATACCACATCATCCTGAGGCCAAAAGGCGAGTTCAGGAAGATCTCTGTTTGTAGCTCTTGGGTAGCAGAGCCAGCCTGGGAGCAACTTGAAGGTGAGAACTGTCTCTTGCCTTTGTTGCCCCAGCACTGGGCACAGTAATTGCTCCAAAAACCATGAATGAGTGAATAAACACCTGAACAAGCTCCTGGCCATCCAGGAGTGTAACTGCTTAGCATGTGCGATGGGTTCGTGGATTTTGTTTTTAAAAGCAAGCTTCAGGTTAAGAGAACGGAATAAAACTTGTGTAGACAACTTAATGAAGGATGACGTTGAAATGAAAATGGCGATCATCAGGTGATATGTTTTGTGACTTTATTCACTTATGGAAAGTAGACATTCTTTATGGGGGGTTTCTGTTTGTTGTGGCCCTCCTCGTTTGATGGGATCACGTCTGATATGCAGGTAGATGAGTTGGTGCATTTATTTTCTTTCCTGTAAAAAGTTCTTTGACTTTTGCTGATAGTTTTCATCAAGGTATTTTCCATGAAACCACATGAAAAGAAAAACAGAACCACGTCTCCCTGAGGAGCTGACACACCCCTTGTGGATTCCTTGCCCCAGCTTCCCCCATGACCCCGGCTCTCATGGGCCTCTGTCCTTCCTGCTGAAACACAGACCCAGCTCTCATGAGCCTCTGTCCTTCCTGCTGAGACACAGACCCGGCTCTCATGAGCCTCTATCCTTCCTGTTGAAACACAGAGCAGCTGGGATCACCGTGTTTCTAGATGTTTGGGAGCATCTGGGCTGGGGGCGGGGGGTCCCTGTGTGCCTGGGGACACTGCCCACTGAGTTGTTCTGTGCTTCCAGGCAAGGGCAGTCTTAGAATGGCCATCTGTGGTGACCCACAGCTCCTGCTCCTTCCAAGGTGAATCCACATACCTCATGGGCTCCTTCATTCAATAGCTTTTCAAATGACTAAGAATGTGCCAGAAGCTCCACAAGGCAGCGGAGACTCAGCCGTGCACAGGACAGAACCCTGCCCTTGGGGAATCTGTGCCAAGCAGGGCAGTACAGACCTGAGCCGGTAGGTCTAAGTGCTCAGGGGCCAGGTACATTGTCGCTGCCTGCCCTCTAGCCTGAGCTGGTGTCTGAAGAGGGCAACCTGCGGGTGGAGGTGCGGTCTGTGCTCGACACCTCCATGGTTCAGAATGTGTGATTTCTGGGAGGCAGCCACACTGGAGGGGACAGCTTCTAATCCATCACCCTTTATTTGACTTTGGAATGTATACCCTTACTCAGTGGAAGATTTACTTCCTCAACTGTGTTTTTCTAGGCTAACTCTAAGCCAGCTGGGCACAAGAGGATGCTGAACTGGAGCAGCCAGGAACCACGGGGGGGCGAAACTCATCCAGGAATATGCAGGAGCTGGAGCACTTTCCTGGGCTCCCCCAGCCCAGGCCTGTGTGCATTTCAACGCATATTTCCTCAGGCCTTAAGAATGCCACCACAGCAGCCATGCAACCACACAACCGGCGGCTTGGGACGGAGGCCTTTGGGAGAAGCCACAGCTGCTGGGTGGTTTCTCAGGACACAGGTCCTGCTCTGGGTGGGGCAGAGCTCTCTGGTACACGGGAGTGTAGAGTGGCTGCGTGAAAGGTTGCTCAGGGGACGTGGATTACGGCCTCCACTGTCCTGTGTCCTCACACCGCCATTGCACCCATCCAGCCCACTGACGACCAGCCAGAGATTGTGAGGCAGCCTGGCCGCCCTCCTCACGTGCCTAGGCAGCTGGCACAGCTGCAGACATTCAGCCAGGGCAGCTCCACCCAGACCATTCCCTCACATCCACCTGTGTCCTGTGCAGGAGGTAGGCTTCTTGGATTTAAATTCCTGTTCCAGCTAGTAGGCAAAAGAGGAAGAGAAGAGCAGCCATTGGGGGCCTGAGTGCAGTAGGAAAAAAAACAGAGAGACTTTAGGTCAAGGCCAGGCCTGTTTGTGCTCCCGGGCCGGGGAGGGGTGTGGAGAAAACACTCACTGAAAACAGGACAAGGGACTCGTGGCTCTCGAGCTCCCATCAGACATGTTTTTGTAACACATCTCAAAGGGATGAGGATAACATTAAACTACGTTATGCTTAGTAAATTCTTGATTTTATTTATTTGTTATTTTTTAGAGACAGAGTCTCACTTTGTCACCCAGGCTGGTGTACAGTGGATTCATTTCGGCTCACTGCAGCCTCCGTCCTCCTCCTGAGTTCAAGCGACTCTCCTGCCTCAGCCTCCGGAGTAGCTGGGATTACAGGCGCCCGCCACCATGCTCGGCTAATTTTTGTATTTTTAGTAGAGACTGGGTTTTGCCATGTTGGCCAGGCTGGTCTCGAACTCCTGGCCTCAAGTGATCCCCCCACCTCAGTGTCCCAAAGTGCTGGGATTATAGGTGTGAGATACTGAGCCAGGTCAAATTCTTGATTTTAAAAACATCTCATTCTTCTTTATTGGCTTGTTTTAAGCGGTTATTAAACTTTGTATTAGAAAAAACCTGTCAGTGCACCAGTATTAATTCCTCAACATGATTTAAATAAGAGCTGCGTTCAGCTGCACACAGGGCCAGAGGCAGCAGCGAGGGAGGGCCAGGGTTTCGCCGGGCGCGGGGCTTATCTTCCTTTGCCTGTTATGAAAAACAATCTCACCTTCCGAAAGGGGATCTGAAAACCAGAGCGTCCCCGGCGCTCCCTTCTGTGCCGCCCGCTTAGGCAGGTTCCCTTGGTAGCTGCGGCCTGAGCTTGCGTTTGGCCTCAGGTCCCGGGCTGCCTTTCACCGACAGCAGCGCAGTGGCTGTGACCGGCTATTCCGAGGCTGCAGCCGCCTCCGAAACCTCCGCTTCTGACACCGGCAGCGCCCTCCAGGCTGGGGAAGGGTCTGCGCCCGCGCCAGAAACCCAGGAAGGGAAGGCGTCTCCACGCCTCAGGGGCTGACTGTCTGGTTTGTGGATTTTCCAGGCTCTTCATAATTTCTTTTTCTAACCATCTTTCAGCCGGGTGATTGCGTGTGAGTGTTCCAAAAAAAAAAAAGAAGGGGATAGACCAACGGTGCAGAAAACAGCAATGGGATTAAAGGGTCAGATCGTGAATGCACCGACCCTCTTTTATTTTATTTTATTTTTTGAGACGGAGTCTCGCTCTGTCGCCCAGGCTGGAGTGCGGTGGCGCGATCTCGGCTCACTGCAAGCTCCGCCTCCCGGGTTCACGCCATTCTCCTGCCTCAGCCTCCCAAGTAGCTGGGACTACAGGATCCCGCCACCACGACCAGCTAATTTTTTTTTTTGTATTTTTTAGTAGAGACGGGGTTTCACCGTGTTAGCCAGGATGGTTTCGATCTCCCGACCTCGTGATGTGCCCGCCTCGGCCTCCCAAAGTGCTGGGATTACAGGCGTGAGCCACCGCGCCCGGCCCTGACCCTCTTTTGTAACAACGAATTTCTCTGCATAAATGTTTCAAAGTAGGTTGTAGTTTTGAATTAATTACTTCTGAATCCTTTATATTCTCTGTATTTCATTTGGCCATTTTTAAAGTCTATCAAAGGCCTACTATGATTTGTAGCCAGGGCATGTTCCAACCCAGCATAACCATGAAAGCAAAGAAAACGAAGAAAAGGAAATGTTGCAGGAGGGTTATCTTGTGAGAAAAAGGTTAAAATTCATTTGTTTCTGTGACTTTTAAAACGAGATTCCTGCCCTCTTTGTCTCATTACAGTTCACGTGGAGCTGCCTTCTCCCCTGCTCCTGCCTACCTGATGTGCTTTTCTCTCCCTTCCTGTCACCCCAGGGAACCGAGGGCCACGGCTGGTTGGGCCTGGCACGCACTCTGAGTGGCAGAGGCACGTCTGGACTGAGGAAGGTGACCGGGAAGGGCCACACCCTTTGAGCACCCTGCAGTCTCACACCCAGAGTGTGGCCAATGCCACGGCTCTAAGAACACGTTTTTAACAAAATTTGACTTATCAGGACAACCCCACAGCCCTCCTAAATCAGATCAGACCTGGTGGTGAAACACTCGTGGGCCAGGTTCTGTTTGGTGGGTGGGGAAGGCTTGCTGCTGCCCAGGGCGGGCGCCCTCCTGTGTGGGTTCATCTCTGTCTCCCGCACACTGGACACAGGTCCTCAAGGGCAGGCGCCCTGCTCTGTGGGTTCATCTCCGCCTCCCGCACACTGGACGCAGGTCCTCAAGGGCAGGCGCCCTGCTCTGTGGGTTCACCTCCGCCTCCCGCACACTGGACGCAGGTCCTCAAGGGCAGGCGCCCTGCTCTGTGGGTTCACCTCCGCCTCCCGCACACTGGACGCAGGTCCTCAAGGGCAGGCGCCCTGCTCTGTGGGTTCATCTCCGCCTCCCGCACACTGGACGCAGGTCCTCAATAGCACACGCACGTGCGGATCCTGCCCACCCTGCTCACAGCGCACGCGCGGATCCCGCCCACCCGGTTCACAGCGCACGCGCGGATCCCGCCCACCCGGCTCACAGCGCACGTGCGGATCCCGCCCACCCGGCTCACAGCGCACGCGCGGATCCCGCCCACCCGGCTCACAGCGCACGCGCGGATCCCGCCCACCCGGCTCACAGCGCACGCCACCGTCTTCTTTTTTCCGGTTACCTGAGTCCGTGCTGTCACCTCGCCCACATGGGTCGCCCGTCTTACTGTCTGCCCTGCCCAAGAATGAGCTTCTGGTGGGCAGGCCCAGGTAGACTCATCTTTGGGCCCTGGCATCCGGCACAGGCAGCACGCTTGTGGACACAACCGGTCTGCAACGTACGAGGCCCTGTACGTTGTACACGTGATTTTAAAAATACCATCTGTTGAACTGTGTCAGCATTTGGAAAATCTCCGTAACTCAGTGAACCAGTATTTTCCACATGACCCAAACATGATGTTCACAGGAAAAAGATTCATTCAAAGTGCAGGACAGACCAACGTGTTGTGATACAGCAGCAGGCACGCGGTCACCGACCGGCTTCAGATTCTACACCGTGGTCTTTAGAGGATGACGGCTTGTTGAGTTTTGATGTGGTATCAAGGAAGAGTCCGCAGTTGCCTGAAAAGGCGACTAACAAGGACCTCCCTGACTTTTCTTTTTGACTTCAACAGCAGAACAACACATTGCCGTGGCCTGACTGCAGGAGTCTGCATGTGGCCCAGCCCTCTTTCATGGGATTCAGATATTATGCAGATTTGCAAAAGTGTAAAAGAATGCTGCTCTTTTAATTTTTTTTTTGGAAAACATAGAGTCTTTTTGCAAAAACAACATTAACATGTAGTTGCTGTACTGATATTTTGAAATGAATAAATACATATTTTAAAATTTTTCTGGTAGACCTGTAATCTGCAATAACTTTTAAGTGTAAAGGGGTCTGAGACCAAGGAGAATGAGACCTGCTGCTGGAGGGTAACTGGGTTGGACAGAAGCTGTGTTGTCTGTGACCGTCTGATTTCTGTCTTTGGTCACTTACCCACAGCACCCTGGCAACCCTCATGGCTCAATGAGTGCCTGCTGCTTTTTCGTAAGAGAAAAAAGTCTTCCAGTATCCAAACATAACAGGAAAGCAATATATAAACGCAGAAATATTTAGTTTAGGAGTCAGCCGATTCTGTGCTGGGAGAACTTTTATGAAAAGCTGACAGCTCGGTCTCACTTCATGCCAACCGATGGTGAACGCTCCTTTAAACCAGCTTTGAGATGGAAGGGTCAAATTGTTGCCAGGAAATGTACAAAACCCCAGAATATTGTAAAGTAGCAAAGATAGAGGAGGATTTCTGAGGAAAAAAAGAGCATCTGACTGTTAAACCCTTTCAGATAGAAATACAGTTCTAGAACTGTAAATTTGTGCTGCCACCTTAGAACCCAGACAGCCTCCCGAGGGGTGGCACCTCCAGCACCGACACCACCATCTCAGAACCAGCTTCCCGACAGCCAACTCCAACCCCAAGTTAGAAAACATACTCCCTTTCACATGGAATTCACGTTTCTCCGTCACAAACACACGCTGCTTCCTGCCCATCTCTCATCCCCAGAGGAGCTTCTGGAAGAGACAGGTTCAGCTGCCTCCTCACACTCCACAGACTTTTTTTTGTCTTGATTTGAATAACAAGGGCTGTGGCTGGAAGCAATTGATTTAATAGACGAATTGGTATCTTAATTTAACAGAATTATCTGCATTGTCCATATTTTTATAGCTACAGGGACTGCATCAAGGGAGAGCCTGTCTCCCACCATTTCATAAAAACGTATAAACCTGATGCTCACAAAGGGGCAGAGGGCTGAGTGGACACCGAGAAACACACCCAGGGCCCCTTTCACTCTTGGTATTAAATGTGTCTCATATAAGATGGGATCAGAAGACAGTGAAATCGTAGAGAGAGCCAGTGGGGAAACATATGACCCGCATGACCTTCCTGACTACTTTATCTGGTTTTATTGAAAACGTGATTAAAGTTCAGTGGCCCCCGTGGGGAAACGCAAAGCTGTAATCAGTGAAGAGCCGGTGCTCTCCTGATGTCCACGGTCACACGTGGACGCAGTGCCCTGGGTTCTCAGGTTGTCTCCTGGTTAGGGTGAGGCCTGAGGGACCCCAACCCAGGGTGTGGGTGCTGCCAACAGAAATCACCTCAGTCTCTCATAATGTGTCTTATGGGGTTTATTCTTACTCCAGCTTCCACAGATAAAAGAGACTTTTTGGGAAGCCATAAAGAAATAAAGATAAATCTATTTTTGAAGGGCTGCTGCTTCTCTTTCTTTTTAGTTCAGATAACGTGCCAGGTAGAAAAGGTTGAAATTAACTGTTTTTTATCTAACATCTAATAATGCTGGCAATAATGAGATGAATCAGATTCTTAGAAAGGCTGATTTCACCCTTCAATTTCCTCCTTCAGAAAAATGAACAGCTTGCAAGCCAAGGGCTGTTTCTTTTCTTTTCTTTCTTTTTTTTTTTTTCAGACGGAGTCTCGCTCCGTCGCCCAGGCTGGGGTGCAGTGGTGCATCTTGGCTCACTGCAGGCTCCACCTCCTGGATTCACGCCATTCTCCCGCCTCAGCCTCCTGAGTAGCTGGGACTACAGGTGCCCGCCACCACGCCCATGTAATTTTTTTTATTTTTAGTAGAGACGGGGTTTCACCGTGTTAGCCAGGATGGTCTCCATCTCCTGACCTCGTGATCCGCCAGCCTCGGCCTCCCAAAGTGCTGGGATTACAGGCGTGAGCTACCGCGCCCGGCCGCCGAGGGCTGTTTCTACAGGCTGAGGGGCTTTCCCACTGCGCTTCGTTACTGCAGCAATGGCAGGAGCAAAATCAGCCATGCAGGCAGCAAGGGCCGTCAGGGAAATGGGGGCTGGAGCAGGAGCACAGGCCACGGGGCCCGAGGACGGCACGGGAGGCTGCAGAGGCACATGGCCAGCAGCCTTCCAGGCAGCCAGGACCAGCTCGTGCACTTGGCTCAACGTGAGGGAAAAGGAAGAAATCAGGGCATTTCCAATGACTGGCTGGTTTCAAGACAGTTTGACTAAATTTCATCACCGTTTGACTAAATCTCATCACTGACTAAATCTCATCAACATTTGACTAAATTTCATCACCGTTTGACTAAATTTCATGGTCAATTTTGTGTTTGCTTCCAGCCTCTGGGCTCTTCTAATGCTTTACTAAGTCCCTCTGGGACCATTTGGAAAATGGGAACCAAGATGGAAAAGGCACCCAGCAGCTCTTGCTTGTGTGACAGGAAGCAGATGGTGAGAACGAGGCTGTACCCTGGGGGTTCAATGTAGCATCAAACAGGAGGAAGTTCAATGCTCCAGAACCCCAAGAGCCGCCGACTTCTGGGAAGATGACCCGCATGTGCTGCTGCCTCTCCCTATAGCAGGGGCATCCGGAGGACACAGAAGTGGCCAGTGCCTCCTCTGCTGAGTGAGCACGTGACCCAGCCATGCGCCTTCTCCTCCTGAAGCCAAAAATGAGGATGCGTGTAAGGAGCCTTGGCACGGTGGAAAGCTGGGGCCACAGTGCAGCTCTTTCTGAGAAGATGGAAGTAAGTGAAAGCTACACCACATGCCACATGTGTGTGCAGCCAGCTCACGGTCACAGGTCTTACTTCCATACCATGGGAGCAGAGATGGACCCACCACACACAGAAGGTAGGCATTTGTGTGGCAGTCAGGAAATGCCAGGGCCTACTTAGTTTTCTTTCTGAGAGCTTGAAAGTTTAAACAAAAAGTTCAATGGATGAAAAAAGTTAACATACACGTCCCTAGGGTGCTGAAACTTAAAGAAAAAAAAGTCCGATTAATTAAATCCAAGCAATGAGTACTTTAAAAATTGACACTTTATCTGAGGCTTACAAACGGTTGCTGGCCATCCTCTTTTTCTGTATCTTCAATCACATGATGCATGAAGTCATTCTTGCTGCAGACATTTAAACAATGTAGATGAAGCAGGGTCCCCCTCGCAATCCTGTCCCCGGTACCACCGACCTTAGTCAACACTTGGCGTGCAGCTGGGTGGCACGTCGGGGGGTGCTCTGGCTCAGGTGAGGCTCACATCGCAGGTACGTGGGGAAGGAGGGGTAGGAAGGAACAGGGCCCAGACGGTGGTATGGTGGGTGCCCTGGGCACAGTCTTAAGCTTCTGCAGCTCCTGACACCTGGCCCCTCCCTGGGCCTCTCTGCTCTGCTGTCCCCTGCCCTGCAGCCCCCAGAAGGAGGTTCCAGTCAACCATCATGGGGTGTGAAGCCCTCTTCCTGGGTGAAGCTCATGGGTTGGCCTCAGAAGCCACTGGCTGGCCCGGAGAGCTACTGGGGGTTGTGGCAACAACAGTGTGTGTTTATAATTTTGTTTTCATTTCACTTCTGTGATGCCTTAGATTGAAAGTTGTATTAAGAAAGAACCCTAAGCATAAGGAATCTAATTTATGTTTGCACATATTTAAATAACATTAGGTTAGCAATCACAAATCAACACAGGACTCCACACTTTTTCTTCTTTCCAAGGGAATGTACACATGAGTTGAATTGGAGAAATCCTGAACTGCAGCAAACCCACTTCCCTGAGGATGATGACACTGTCTTAGGGAGTCAAAAACCAAGGGTGGCCGAGTGCAGAGCTGAGCCAGGTGATGACGCTGTCACAATACCCCATGCAAACCTCACTGGACTCCGCTTGTCACCTGGGAGGGCTGTCTTAGAAGCCCTACAGCCTTACCAACTCTCGAACTTTAGTAACAGGTCTTGATGAAAACCAAAAGCAAACAGTTATGTTTTCTTGCGAGTAATAGCAGACCATTTGTAGAAGAAGAAGTCACAAGGCTGCATTATTGGACATTGCCACACACCCAGGAGAGCCGCCAAGCCCTCAGTCTGTGAGGCTGTAGTGCTTCCTCTGTGTGGTGGCCTCGTCCGAGGCGCTGGCAGATGAAATGCTGGAATGGAGGAGGGGCCTCGGGCACACTCCTGCCCACCCCTGTGTGTGCCACCAGGTCATCTTCTATGAGCCCCGAGTCAGGCCAGTCACTTCCTCTCTCCAATAGAGAGCTCATGAGCTAATGACAAGGGCATTTCTAAGAAGACAAACTTAAACAAGAAGTCACAGCATATGCACTGATGTGCACATCTCCATAAACTTGCACCAGACACGTATGTATCAAGCCAGCCAGTGTGACAATGACTTGCATGAAATCGCATCCTAACCCAAGGGTGACGGGTTTGAGGGCAGCTGTCAGAGGACACCGCATGCTGAGCTGGTGCTGCAAATGTGGCCAGGGCACATGTGGAATGGAGGAGAGGTGTTCCTGCTGTTTTCCACCTTTCCAAAGGAGAGAGCTCACAGAGGCTGCTCTCAGCTACTTAGTAGAGCACAAACCTCTGCTGACCACAGGAAGATGGTTCTTCCTTTCTTTATTCTTTTCTGAAAACACATTCACCATGTTTATGTAAAAATTTACAAATATTTAAGTTAAACACAATCATTGTATTTAAGGGTGAAGATCAGTGAGACTGTTATGTGGCCAGCAGGTTGTTTTTGATGAAGTGTCTGCCAGAAGGTCCTTTGAAGCCCCCTGAGCTGTGTCTCCACTCTGCTTCAACTCCTTGTTGTTCTAAGAGTCAGCCCCACTCTAACTGCTGCATGTAGGATGCACAGCACAGCAGAGCAGCTTAAGCCACGTCCACGTGATGCCACGCAACACATCTGTACTGGGCATCTGTGTAAAATGCACGGTGAATTTCATCATATGCCTTGATTGTAGAATAAGCAAGATGTATTGACTTTATGTTCAATGTCCAAGTTTTTAAACAATGCTTTCTTCAGCCCTGAAAGGGTTCTGTCCTATTCCGGCAAGTAGGTATCAGCTGGGCCACCTAAAACACCAGCAATCATGTGATAGTCCAAGCTGACTCCTGGGATGGGTGACAGAATCAACCTCTCCCTCATCCTGTAGAGAGTGAGGCTGCAACAGGAGGGTCTGGGGCGTGGGACGCAGCCCCAGGAAAGGCAAGTGGCTGAGGCTGAGCATCTGTCGACTGTGGACTTGTGGATCTGTCACTTGTAGTTCCCTTTCTGAGTACACTGGCTGAACTCCAGGTGTGTGTAAATGTGGCAAAGTGACCAATCTGTGGATTTGTAAGAAATGTTAAGATTGGTTGGGAAAACTGTTCTATTTTTTATGTACATATCTGACCTAATTCTAGAATGCCCTTCAGACCTGCTCCCTCCCTTCCTGAAAGGAAGATCGAAGCCATCACTATGGATCTCCTAATTGCTGAAACCAAAGATCACATTTTCAGCCATTTTAACCTATGACTAATTATGGATCACTGGCATCTCAGGGACACCGCATGTCTTTCCTTGGGATGTGCCCTTTCTAATGGCCTGTGGTGCTGTGTGATCAGTTTTCTCCCTGCCCCTCTTTGTAGACTCACCCTTTCCAATAGACCCATGAGTGCTGGTGTTCCCAGGTTCTATTCTTGGGTCTCTACAAGATTCCTGAGTGGTGCCAGTCCCTGCCATGCCTGTGTCCAGCCTGACGGGCCTGCGCGCCTCTAGTGTTGGAAAGAAGCTGTGCCACTGCGAATACGGTGGTGTTTGCTCACCGTGCTGTGTAAGGCTAGATGCTTTATGGATACACATTCTCTTGTTTAATCCTGGGGGAGGTGTTATCCTCTCAGACACACGTGCAGATTCAAGGTGGCTGTCCTGCCCACGCCCTGTGCTAACAGGCGGCAGACACTGAGCCAAGACCTCTGGCCCTACACCAGCTGCCCAGCCATAGGGGTCCTCAAAGCTGTGTCTTTCTCCTCTGCTTGTGTCCTCCTCCCCTGCGTTTCCTAAGGTCATGCGGGAGGGTGGGGGGGGGGAGCGGAATCTGAGCCCAACTCAAGTCAGAAGCCTAGAGATCGTCCCAAGGCCCTCCTCTGTCACCTCCTATCCTCCCCTAGTTTCAAAGGCTCAGAGCTTCTCTAGAATTTCTAAACTGTATCATTCTCTTTGTGTCTCCAAGAACAGACCAGAGGACTCTTATCTAAGGAAACTGACAGCCCACCATGAAAGAGCTAAGAATTCTAGGATCAGGACTTCCCCAAGGACCCCATGACTGACAAGACAGCTGAAGGCCCAACCAGGCAGGCAGGTTTTTGGCCACCTTTTTAAAGCCCAGCTCCTACACAACACAAGACATTCAAGAATCACCAGGCATTGGAGGAAAAAACTGAAAATGAAAACAGACCGAAACAACCAAATAAACAGAAAAAGAAACTTGGTAAAAATAGTATCTACAAAGGACACTATGAAATAACAAAATAAAACTACTGACACAATTTCCTCAGAGATAGAAGACAAAGTGCTGCGGCCATGAAACAAAGACTTTCCAACAAAAAAGGAAGAGTCTGGGCTTTCACAATTTAGAAACAGTAAAATTAAAGAATTAATAGAAGGGATGAACGATAAAGTTGAGAAACCTTCCCAGAAAGTAGGGCAAAATGACAGATATTAAGAGAGAAAATATAAGATCATTACAGAACTATGATATAGTGTCTGACCTCTGAGAAGGGGAACAGAACAGATAAAATGGAGGGCAGAAAATCATCAAAGAAATCATTCAAGAAAACTTTTCCAGATCTGAAAGAAATAAATTAGCTTTATGTCACTGCTACCTTTGCAGACAGGAGCACTGGCAATGGGAGGTGGGGCTTGAGGGCTCTAGGGGCTGGGCCTCTCCCATGGGATCCTCTACTGGAAGCACCAAGAGGCTGGACTGCCAGGTGCCCCAGGACCACAGGGCAGCCACACTTGGGTCCTTTCAAAAGGAAGCTCACCCACCCCAACCTCCTTAAGAGTGGGGGAGAACACTTTCCTCACCACAGGTCAGAGTCACATACTCAAGCCTGTAGAGGGGAAATGACAGAGATGAGTTGGCAAATAAAAGACATGGAAAGTTGAAGTAAATGCAGTGAAATCTCAGTAATGCAAAATCTTGAACATTGGTTCTGAAGCGGAAGCTTCCAATATTGGGAAAAGATGGAAAGAGCTGTGTCTTTTAAGTGGAGAATTGGATGACAGGGGTAGGAAGCTCACTGACATAGAGGCAGCACACCAAAACCAGCTTCTACTGTGAAGGGAGGCTTAGCAGAAAGAGGCAAGACAGAAGGATTCTGGAAGAAGTTTCCAGAAAATTATAACAAGGCCACCTGGGAAGAAGTCAGACACCCTCCCACCCATTTTCCTCCTCCCAAGGATGCTAAGGATGGGACAGAAACTGTGGCGAAGACACCACTTGCACTTTCTGCTCAGGTAGGACGGTTTGATTGGACACTCTCTACAATAATGAGGCTAACAGTCAAAGATGAACTGAGGCAATCACACCGCCATCTGGTCAGGCCAATTTAAGTTGCTAGGATATGTGTTCTGTGATGGAAGGACTGAGGGGCCAAACTGAAAATTCTACAGAGTGCCCAGCATGGTAGGTAGAAACAAACCCACACTAAGGCCTCTCATCACAAAATTTCACACAAATAGGGACAAACAGAGGACCTTATAAACATCCAGGGAGAAAATATTGGTACAGAAAAGCATCGACAACCTGAAAAGCATCAGATGCCTGCCTGTAACAGTGGAAGCAGGGAGACAATGAGGCAATGCCTTCAAAATTCTAAGAAATTATTTCCAACCTAGAATTCTACAACCAGGTAAACTTTCAATTAAATATGAAAGTGTAATAAAGACATTTTCAGACCTGCAAGGCCTCAAAAACATATTCCCTATTCTCCTCTTTTCTCAGGAGAAGGAAATAAATCAAGAAAGAGGATTGTATGGGACTCAGGGCCCCAACTCCAGAGAGAGGGATAACAGCCACAGCTCACAAGGCAGGGTTGGGCCAGTGAGCAGAAGATATGTCGAGAAGATGAAATTGACAGGATACCTAATGTATAGGTATACTGAAATGAGATTTCTATAACTGAGAACTGAAATTATGATAAATGTATAGAAAACTAAATAAACCCACAGAAAAAAAAACAAGAATCTCGGGAAAAACAAATGATAAGTGAAAAAGTAAAAGTAATTATAATTATTTAGTTTAGCTGTGAACAGTGATTTCATGGAAATAGTACTATAAACTAAGTAAAATTAAAACCATTCGGGAGAACTGGGAAACGCAGTGAGATGAGAGGCAAGAGAGGAAATCCTTTGATGTCTATAGTGAGCACTAGAGGTAATTCCTAAAACAGAAAATAAAGACATAGCAATAGGAATATTATTTAGAAATACACAGATTATTAGGAAACAATCATCTGAAAAGCTGAAAGTATAAGTAGGTGTTTCTGGGAAACACAGAAAGGGACTGATGTGTTTTAAAAACAGCCTATAGAACTATTTGACTCTCTAAACTATGTGAATGTTTTACTTTGAAAAAATTAAACCTCAAATTAAAAAAGAGTAAGTAGGCTGGGAAATCAAGCTAATGAATTCTTGTAGGAGACAATGTTGAAACAGATGACATCTTTATACACTGTGAACCCAATAATGTAGATTAGTCAGTTGTTTCTTATGCATTTGTCTTTCAAATCATGTAGAAAATAAAAAGTGCAGTTACAAACCAAAATTATAATAATGCTAGCTTTTATAATTGCCCATATATTTATCTCTACTGGAGATTTTTTACTGCTTCATGTGGCTTCAAGTTACTGTCTAGGGCCCTTTCATTTCAACCTGAGCGATTTCCCTTTGGCATTTCTTGCACAGCAAGTCTAGTGGTAATGAACTCCCTCAGCTTATGTTTATTTGGGAGTGTCTCCTTCATTTTTGAAGGATAGTCTTGTCAGATAGATGATTCTCAGTTGACAGTGTTTTTTTTCTTTTGGCATTTTAAATGTATCTACCTATTGCTCTCTGTCCTCCAAGGTTGCTGATAAACTGGCAATAATTCTATTGAAGGTCCCTTGTAATCTCTCTGAGGAGTAACTTCTCACTCTCAGGATTGCCTTTGGTCCTCAATGGTTTGGCTATAATGTGTCTTGGTATGAGTCTCTTTCTAAGTTTATCCTAGTTGGAGTTTGTTGAGTTTCTTGGATTTGAAGATTTATATGTCTTTTATAAAATATGAGAAGTTTTCAGAATTATTTATTCTATTTCTCTCTCTCTTTCCCTTCTGAGACCCCTGAAATGTGTGTTGGTCCACTTGCTGTTCCCCAGGTTCCTTAAGCTCTGTTCACGTTTCTTCATTCTTCATTCCATTTCTCAGGCTCAATAATTTTCCTATTTTCAAGTTTGTTCATTCTTTATTGCCTGCTCAATACTTTATTGTTCTGCTTTTGAATTCCTCTGGTGAATTTTCATTTCAGTTACTGTTCTTTTCAGATCCAGAATTTCTTTTTGGATCCTATTTGTAATTTCTATCTCTTTATTGAGTTATTCTCATTTTGTTCATACATTTTCAATGGACTTTGTCCATGTTTTCTTTGAGCATCTTTAAGACAGCTGTTTTAAAGTCTTGTCTAGTAAGCCTGATGTCTAGGCTTCTTCAGAAATACTTTCTGCCATTTATTTTTCTTTGTTTGAATGGGCCATACTTTCCTGTTTCTTGTAGCCATGTGATTTTATTGTTGAAAAACAGACATTTGAATCTTATAACGTTGTACCTCTGGAAATCAGATAATCCTTCTCCCCTTGGGTTTGCTTTTTGATTGTTAAAGGGTGCCTCTGTGGTGAAGACCAGCCTGAGGGAAAAACTTCTCAGTTCTCTTAGGTCTTTTCTGAGCCTGTCACTGCCCTGGCCATGTGCTGTGGCTTTCTAAATTTTCCCTTATATATGGTTGCTCTTGAATGTCCTAATCCTTAAATGCCTGACTCCCAAAAAAGCGAAAACAAATCCACAGAAACCCACAGGTATTACTCCTTTAGATCCCATGGAAGGTGCTTTAGCCAGTGTGGGCAGAACCAATGGTGCCCAGTCTCTGTTCGAACTCAGTGATCCAAAGCAGCAATCACAACACGGAGCCCTGGTATTTGGAGAACAAGGTCCTTAGTGCTCATCCTGGCTCCAGCAAACTGCACCAGGAATGCGTGCATGGCTGTCTACCATGCACTTGGGAACCAGGCATCCAAAACTGATGGAAACTAACCATAACTTACCAGGCAAGCTTCCCCTTAGAAGCTGCAAGTTGTCAAGTAGACTCCCGAGTTCCAAAATAGTTACTTTGGATAGTTTCTGCCATTTTGTGCCATTTTTGTCTAGGTGGGGATATGGATCTCTGGTGCTTCCTGCTCTGCCATCTTCTCTGATATCATTCCCCTCCCATGAATTTCTTAAGGTAACACTTCTATTTCTAAAAGTAATTTTGGTTTAGATTTCCTCAGTAAATATTTTTAAATGGTGAGTCAATTTCTAAGTGGAAAAATGTTTGCTTTTTATCCTTTTGTTGTTGATTTATCATTGTATTTTTTTTTTTTTTGAAACAGAGTCTTGCTCTGTCACCCAGGCTGGAGTGCAGTAGCGCAATCTTGGCTGACTACAACCTCCGCCTCCCGTGTTCAAGCAATTCTCCTGCCTCAGCCTTCCGAGTAGCTGGGACAACAGGCGCCTGCCACCACGTCCAGCTAATTTTTGTATTTTTAGTAGAGACAGGCTTTCTCCATGTTGGCCAGGCTGGTCTCAAACTCCTGACCTCAGGTGATCCACCCACCTCGGCCTCCCAAAGTGCTGGGATTACAGACGTGAGCCACCGCTCCTGGCCTCTATTGTCTTAAGGGCAGAAAATAGGCTTGTGTGATTTCAGTAAATTGGCTTTTCAGTATTTTGATTGAGGTTTACTTTGGGGTCTACTACATGGTTAAATTTTGTGAACTGTCCATTTGTGTTTGAGAATATTAATAAAAAGGCATCTATTTGTTCTGTATATTTCTATTAGAATAAGCTTGTTTACTGACTTACTCAAATGTATGTCATTTCTTTTGGTTTACAAAATCTTTTGATTTCTGAGAGTGAAATGCATGTTAAGTGTCCTATTACTGGGTCTATTTCTCCTTGTATTTTGCTTGTAATTTTCATTTATTATGCCAGATGCATGAACGTTATGATAAAGACCTTCCTTTTATTATTTACTTTTCTTCTTTTAATGTGCATGCTTAACATTTTAGCATACATACATAAACTTACATTTTTCCAAAAACATCCAGATTTAATAAAAATTTGTATCCTTTCTAAGCAAGGTAAGAAATTTAGTATGCTTTTATTTTTCTTTTTACCTCATTGCCCTCATTCATCTCTTTCCTTGAAATAATATGGAAATTTAGTCTCCAATTGTTTGGCTTCTTCACTTTGGGTTAATAGTTGTTTAGCAATGACTGAAATTTTACTAATTTCTTTACTCAACATTGTTTCTCATTGTCCATGTATTCCCGTTAGATGTGCTCATTTTGCTATCCACTTTCTCTTGGAAAGGCTCTATGGGTCAAAGAATTTCTGATTCCTGAAAATGTGTTAATTTTTCCTTAGTGTAGAATGCTAATTTGGCTGACCTTAGGATTCTGGGCTCAGCATTATTTTTCTATAAAGGTAAAGAAACATGATGTGGCTGCTGGAGTGAGAAGCAGGTTGCAGAGGTTTTCTGTAAGATGGGGGGGACAGCATGGAGAGGACACCGCTGATGACTCAGGGGCAAGGGGCTGTCTGGGGCTGTCTGAGCAGCTGAGGGACCCTGGGTTCACAGCTGGAGAGACGGCCTTAGGTAGGGGCAGAGTCAGCTCATCCATGTGGTAGGTTAAAAAGTAGATACTCCCTCTGTTGTGGATTTGTCTGTTTCTACTGGTATTCTGTTTATGAATTCTGACTTGATGATGCAGATGCTTGAAGGCTAGCAAACAGGGCTGTGAGAACTTACAGAAAGCAAAGTTGTCACCTGTGACTGAGGACAGGAGTAGTGCTGGAAGGCTGAGCAGAGGACACGAACCAAGTATCTGAAGAGCGCAGGGGGAAGTGGGGAATGGCCACCGGGCAGTACCCAGGGCTCACTGGATTTAAGGTGGGACCAGTAAGGATGACTGTGGGATTTTCTCTAGCCACATTCTAAAAGCAGAGTTGGATTTAACCTAGGTGTGTGGTTTTACCACATAGATACAGTAAAATGAGAGAGGCAATGTAGTGTATATAAGAAAGTCACTTCCATTGACCACGGAAGTCAGCAGATAGGGTAGAACAGGTGAGGAAGGGACCAGGAATGATGACAGGCACTCGGCTGCAGTGTGCTGGGTCAATGCACCAGCTCCTGTCTGACGGAGGAATCACCATGTGCCAGAGGTAATGACCTGTGTGGCTGGAGAGTGAGTATTGGGGACTGAGATTGCGAAGGAGTTGAGTAACTGGTAATTACAAGGCCAAAGGTGGAGAACAAGATCACTGGGAGGGGACATCAAGGAACTGAGAGCAGGGCACCAGAAGGATTAGCTGCAGGATACTAAGGCTGCCAGAAATTATTACAAGAGTCATACTGGGAAGAGTGACAGCCAGGAACCCAAAGGCCAACAGGGAGGACTGGTGGGTGGCAAGGTTGGATGATGAGATTCCAAGTTTGTGGCTTTTATGGAGAAGGGGAAATGGTGTGTGCAGCAGACCATATTTTCCAAAAATGGCCATAGTAATACTTCTGGTCTCACATGATTTCCTGGGACTCTGTCCTGCTTGGCCAAGAGGAAGCAGCTACTTCATCTCTGAATTTGGACTGGTTTTTTTTTTTTTTTTTTGTTTGCCTTGATGAACAGGATATGGCAGAAGAGATGCTGGATGCTGTGACTTCGGAGGCTGGGCTATAAAGAGTAACATGGCTTCTACCTGGCTCTTTAGCCTTTGGAAAGCTTGTGTTCAGAATCCAGTTACCATCCAGTTATCAGTTAACTAGTCTTCAGGACCAATGAGAGGCTCACATGGAGAGACACAAGCCCCATCTAAGAGCCAGCATGAGCCAGATACAGGCGAGAACGAAGACTCGTCTGACTCCAGGTCTTCCAGCCAAGCCCAGACGTGGGAGCCGGGACAGGTGGTGCCTGCCATGCCTTGCCTGGACTCAACGCCCAGAATCTATGAGCACGATCGAATGGGTGTTGTGCACCACCACGTGCTGAAGCAACTACAACAGCCTGGAAACAGGCCAAGAATGTGAGGGGTGTCGGCTCTATGCACCGAGGAATGGGGGAAACACCAGCTTTCTGTGAGCAAGAAGGTGCAGGGAACGGTCAAAGAAGGGGTGGGTGATGGTAGATTTACGTGGAGTTTCAGGAGTCAGTGAAGGGAGACTGCCGAGCCGTGGCCATGGTGGCAGCAGGGAGATGTTTCTGGGGCAGGCTCACCCTTCCCCACATCCACATGCTGAAATGTCTTACAAATAATCAGAGAAATGTGAAAGTATATTAGTTATGAGTAATAAATATATTTTGCTTTATTTTCAATTTGATATATGGAAATTTCATCAGAAGACTTGACTGCAGTGTTACTTACAACTTAGAATGACAAAAAATTCAGCTCTCTGGTTTTTCAAAGGTAATAAAGATTATACTAACTCAATGGCTTAAATAAGAGCTTGTTAACCAAACACAAATATTTTACTGACAAACTAGAATTTAGGTATTATGAAGGAGAAAACAATTTTCACAGACACCCACTCTCTTAGTCTAAGGGATGAGGAATTTATTTCAAAGTTATACAAGTGCAAAGAAATAGATCTAGAAGCAGCAGGGGTTTCAAATGAGCAAAAATGGAAGAAATAGAAAGTTAATGTTTACTGACATAGGGAAATCCTCATAAGAGGAATGAAAAAAATCGATTTCCAAAGCTAGGAAAACATGTGGGTCCTACAAGACTTGCACGAAAAATAATTAGATGTAAATGTTCTTAAGAAGAAACCGAAGGGAGCGGTTAGGATATTTCAAATGTAAGAAATACAAATGTAATAAGATACCTAGAGACCATGTCCCTTTTTAATAAACACTCAGGATTTTAAGGAAAGATGATGCCTTGGAGCTCTGTGCCTTTGGCCCGTTGGTCAAGGTAATTCGTCAAGTGCAGGCACACAAACTGGCCTGCAAGCACGTTCAGGGGCTTATTTTGTTTTTAAAGAGCAACAACCAGAAGGAAATGTCTTTAGGTGCCAGGGGTGAGCACCTCCTAAGAACACGGGGCATCTTCAGAGCCATGGCATGGCCCAGCAGGAGCAGGGGTCACCACCAGCTTTTCTTCTCCTTTCTCAGGTGGAGACAGACATAAGTTCGAGGTTTCTGGAAGACGGCTGCCCACAGAGGGCTTGCCTTCTAACTCCTCATTTGAATCTTTTCCATCATCAATACCCTGGCCATTCCTTTTCCCACAGGTACAGCTCAGTACAATCTGGGGCTTAAAATTTCAATTCTTTGGTGACCTGAAGATTCTTCCATGAAAAGGATTACTCTGAACTTAATTTTTTTTTTTAACCAAAAGTCCTTCAATGCTCAGAGATAAAGAGGAACAAACGTGCCATTCACTTGTGGCATCATAAACCAGGCCTGATGGCAGCCCAGCCGCTGGCTGCTCTCAGCATGCTCTCTGTGGATTTCCTGTGTGACTGGATGGAGGGCCAGGCTTGTCTTCACAGGCACTGCCATAAAAAATCCTGAGCCAGGCCCTGGCAAAATGAAACGAAAGGGATGACCCCACAGAAACAGACACAGGAGTCACACACATGCTGTCATGTCTCCCAGGCAGAACCCTCCAGGCAGAATTAACTCTTCCACCAGAAAGATGGGAAGTTAGTTGTTACTTTTCTATTCAAACACTTCTGAGGACCAAGAGAACACATAGTTGGAAACTTATGTTTGATTAGAATTTCTGATTAGAAAAGAATTTCTGAAATATCCCCAGCTTCACTTTCTGTGGTTTCGGTTACTCATGGTCAACTGAAGTCTGAAAATTAAATTAAATGGGAAATCCGTTTTAACTTGCTCGCCATTGTGAATAGTGTGATGAAACCTTGTGCCTCCCGCTCTGTCATGCCCAGGACATGAATCAGCCCCTCATCCAGCTTCTCTGACCATTAGTCACTTAGTGGTCTTCTTGGTTTTCAGATAGCAAGAAGGGTGATTACAGCACGATATTTTGACAGAGACCACATTCACATAGCTTTTATTAGTTATTGGTTGCTGTTAATCTCTCACTGTTCTTTGTTAAGCTTTATCATGGTATGTACGTAGAGGAAAAAGCCAAGGTATAGATATGTAGGATTCCATACTATCCAGTCTCAGGCATCCACTGAGGGTCTTGGGATGTCTCCCCCGCAGATAAGGGAGGACTACTGTATAGTGTTTTCTGACTTTTTAATAACAGGAGATAACCCCTCATAATCTAGTGTTGCTAATAAAAAATCAGAATACAACAGATTCCCATTTATTTTAAAATGAAATTAGCTAGGCATCATATATATGAATGAAAGATCAGAATGAAACACATGAAGATGTTAACAATGATTGTTTTGGGCCACAGAATCAGGCACAAGCTCGGGAGAGAAGCCAACAAAAGCTCTTCTGCACAATGGGAGGGAGACACCATTGAAAAAGGCATCGTTCCTTCTTCATGCAAGCGAGGCCTGGCTCCCACAGGCATGGTCTCCTTGCAGCTGCAACAGCAGAGGAGGGCGCTGGCAGGGCTCTGCGTCCAGGTGTGCCTCTTTTTCTCTCCATACTCTTTCTGGAGGAAGCAAGAGTGTTTTGAAACCAAGTTAACTCGGCACCAGGTCAGCAGGATTCAATATCTGAGTTCTGTTTACTTTGGTACTTGATATGGAAGATTTATGTTATTAAGACAGACATGTGACTGATTTCTTCTGGAGATGCAGGTGATGAACTTACCTGGAGGTTGACTAGTACCTTCTCCACTGGTCATGCTCATACTGTCTGCTTCCTGCAGTAAACAGACATGAAAACCAAAGTAAGAATTAAATCTCTCTCAATACACAAACAAGAATGCTGCACATTTCTAAGTATGAACAAAGATGCTGAGCTGTATTTGGAGGACACAGCTTTATCCTCTTTACAGTTGTGGCCACATGCCATTAAAACTGTGTTCCATAATTATTCCATTAAAGTGGAAGCAATTAATTAAGAGGTTCGTGGAAGGAAACAATGTCAAAGTTGTTCCTCTTCACACCAGCTCCATCCATCTGCGTGATTTCTAGGCATTTACTATTGCTGACGACTTTTGGAAATGGAAATTCACATGCAGATGGCTCACCATGGACGTTCTGCCAACACAGAAAAGCCCACGTGCAGCTCTTTCTGCGGCTGGCCCAGCCTGGGTGGCTACTGTCTGCCTTTCTGATAGACAGGGAACGTTGGGAAGAGACTCGGGGCAGAACCTCCCTACTAGTAGCAAAAACGGTGACAGTTTTTCACATTTTAAAAATAACACTTTTCTTCCAGAGTTCCCTGCTCTGAGTTATCTTCTGGTGTATGACGGCAAGAGCCTTCACTTGCCGTGACTGGGGATGGTCTCCATGCCTCTCCTCTGACCCACTCCTGCCGTGGGCAGCCTGGGTCTCTCCCCTCCCCCAAAAGTGTGGGCTCCGGCAGAAGGTGTGAAAGGAGAGGGCTACAGCCAAAGTGAGGTTTCCAGACCCTTGTTACTCTGCCCCCACCCTTGTTACCACAGATGATCACAGCAGTTTTATGGCAGGCCTCCTACAGAATCACCACAGAGAAGTGACAATCTGGAAAATCACAGGCAAATTGTAGCTATGGACTGTGGAATTTAACACGTCATCTCTTTCCAGCGGGGCTGAGCAACAGCAAGGAAGAGGTTAAAGCCTTCTCACTTGAGCAGCCTTTGTTCTCGGGGCAGCTGCCTGCACTGAGCTCTGAGGCCTTTGAAGTGGACCAGAGAGTTCAGGCCAGGCTCCCCAGGACCCCCTACCTGTCCACACACTCAGGCTCCAGAAACTTGACAACTTTTGGCAGTGACTGAATACTTTCATGAAGAGGCATTTTTAGTTTTTTTACTAACACAAGAAATTTTACCTATCAATTGCCCTGGAAATAGTGACAACTTTCTACTTGAACTACTTTAATATCTTCAAGAAATACCAAAAGAGGAGTTGAAGGTAGGCAAAACCCAGGAGAAATGTGCTGCCCCAAACTCCCTCACAGTAATTACAACTGAAAAGGTGGATTACTTGGTCTGAAAAGCAGATTCCAGTCCTGATGAGAGCAGTGTGTGTGCATGTGTGTATAACATACACTTTATACTGGAATCTCTGAAATTAGAATACACACAGGCACCACTAATATCACTTTTGTAACTACTTCCGCATGGAAGGCAGAATGCAAATGAAATATAGCATCCTTGCTTCTGTCTTGCAAGAACGGCTTAATTTCTCCCACTCTCATTCCTAAACTCTTAAATCTGACACAAACTCAGCATTTAACATCTCAATTTTGCCTTTAACCTAAGAGTCTCCCAGAGCTACTTTCTGGCCCCAAACCCACACGCATCACCACTCTTTGATTTCTGTGTTACTGTTATGATCTACTCCAATAAAGCAGGGATCTTCTTCAAAGACCTATTTATGAAACTAGGGCACAGCCTTGAAGTGGTGTTAGGCTCCAGCTGCTGAGGTCATTACAGTTTTATTGTTTCTAAGTGACCAGAACAGAAGTGGTAAAACATGCTCCCTTAGGCCTTGCACCCAGACTGACAAACATTCCTTCGAGTTCCAAATCATTCCTGAAATTCAAAGTGGTCCTGTAGGTGGTGAGAAGGGAACCCTACACCTGGAGTTCACGCCATGTAGCCCAACTGTCTCCTCCTTTTTCTGGAGGGCTGTGGGCTCCGCAGAGCCCGGGAGAGCCCACTTCACTTAATAGTGACTTAGGAACGAGGCGACAGAGACAGGTGTGGAGCTGCTCTCCTGGTCACGCGTGCTTCACTCAGCAGGGCCAGCGTGCCCGCACTGCTCCTGTGCCCACTGCTCACATCTCCTCCGTGCTCCTTTCTGGGTCAGGAAGAGCTACTAACTCACTTTGGTTACTTGGCTTTTTATTTATATTTGTCAATGACATCCTAAAGAAATGTATGTCAGAAATGAAGCTTGTGCTAAAGTGGTACTTACAGGTGTGCGTACTAGATTTAAAAGCAAATTACTGGGCATGCTATGGAAAGCTTGGCAAAATGCAGAGTCTAGGGAGGACCTCTGCCACCCCCACAGCCTTGCGGACCAGCTCAGGGATTCGGGAATCTACAGGAAGCAAATATTAAAGCAAGACTAGATTTAATATTTAATATTTAAGAGGGCGCACAAACAGGGGCCTTCGTCTGCTGAGCCTGCCTCCTTAGGTCCATCCTGGGACGTGCACAGCACCCTCAGCAGTGGGAACACAGCAAAGATGATGAGGGACTGAAGCGTGGGACACGCAGGGTGCAGGGCCCACAGAGCCCAGGGCGCAGGGAGTCCTGAGGGAGGATGGCATGTTCGGGGAAGAGAGAGTGCCTCTTGGGGAGGCCTGTGGCCACTCATGCATCCAAAGCCACACAGATGCAGGCTGCGGAGGCAGCCCTGGGTTGTTTACTACAGGCTGAGTAACCCCTTTCTGAAATGCTTGGAACCAGAAGTAGTTCAGGTTTCAGATTTTTTTCAGATTTTGGAATATCTGCATTATACTTACCGGGGTTCAGCAACCCTAATCTGAATATCCGAAATTCCAAAATGCTTCAAGGAGCATTTCCTTTGAGTGTCCTGTTGGTGGGCAAAAATTCTGGACTGTGGAGCATTCTGGATCTCAGACTTGGGATACTCAGCCTGTATAAATTTTCTGCTTCCTATCAGTAGCTTATACTATTACAGGCAGAAAGAAGTAAGAAATAAGCACTCCTGGAGATACTGGCGGTGCCTGTCCTGGCTCCTGCAGGGGACAGCGGCCTTTGCTCCCTCCCTCCCTGCTCCCTGGCCCTTTCTGTCAGCTTCTATCCTCAGAGCCTCTCTTCTCTGCCAGCTTCTGGACGGCCTCCTTCTCCAGCTCAGTCCTGATGGGACACTGCCTCTGTCTGTCTCCTGCCAGCCCCCCATGTCCTGTCACCCCCAAACCTGTGTCCATCTGAGGGCTCTCTCCTCACCCACACACCAGCTGCTGAATGCCACTTGGAGACCCCTCAGGCTTAGCTCAGCCTGCCCCAAGGAGCTGCCATCAGGCAGGACGAGGAAACCATGGTGGCCTCTGGACTTCTGGCAAGACCGGGGCGACTGGGGGGTTCCTGTTACTGGATGGCCGAGGGATCTGCTGCAGAGGCACACAGGGTTCCAAGAGTGAGACTTTCCCCTGGCAGGGACCCAGGGCTGAGGATGACTAGCTACAATTCCGCCTATGGAAAGTCATTATGCTGTTTTAATTTGCATGAGGATGAGAAATTTCTGGACACTGTTCTCTGCTAACAGAATCGGAAGAAAGCTGCTTCCTGTCAATCCAAGGAAGGGGGTTCTTTTGGTCTAGTTTAAAGATGCTCCTGTAGTCTCTGTCGTCACATGAAAGAAAGAAGCCAATGTGCATGGCATCCTTCCTGGCACTTGACCTGGGGGCCATGCTCTGGGGGAGCCCTGGGAGAAGCAGATGGCTCTGCTCCCGCCAGGCCACACCTGCAGGCTTTGGTGATGTTCCTGCTTCACTTCATTCTGCAAGAACAGCGATACTGAGGTAGGACGGACATTGCTTTATTTTTAACAGAAAAAACTCTTTAACAAAATAGTTTGACATAAATATTAAGAGAAATGTTAGAATTAATGCCAGGAAAGGAAAAACTTGGTTTTGGAAGAAGTGGCCACGATCCCCTCTGCCTGGATGCTGGTGCTGTGGAGGTGCCGTCCCTGCAGCCGGTCAGGCCACACTGATCAGAAGCCAGGGAGCAGCCCAGTGGTCCAGGGATCCCCTAAGGGCAGGCCACTGGGAAGGGGCAGAACCAGCGCTTGAGACAAAGTCAGCCTGTCTGAAGCTACCACAGCAGGCCGCCTCTGGAAGAAAATGAAAGAAATAAAGAAAAGCCTGTGACTCTTATCATTCCCAGAGGAGTCAGTACCAAACAGGTCCCACTCCACCTGCCTTCTGAGATCAGGGCAGGATGGGGCATGTTCTTGATGATACATCTGTAAATGACATAGTTCTACCTTCCCCACTCACTCCTAAGGCTTATGACATAGTTCTACCTTCCCCACTCACTCCTAAGAGTTATGACATAGTTCTACCTTCCCCACTCACTCCTAAGGGTTATGACATAGTTCTACCTTCCTCACTCACTCCTAAGGGTTATGACATAGTTCTACCTTCCCCACTCACTCCTAAGGGTTATGACATAGTTCTACCTTTCTCACTCACTCCTAAGGCTTATGACATAGTTCTACCTTCCCCACTCACTCCTAAGAGTTATGACATAGTTCTACCTTCCCCACTCACTCCTAAGAGTTATGACATAGTTCTACCTTCCTCACTCACTCCTAAGAGTTATGACATAGTTCTACCTTCCCCACTCACTCCTAAGAGTTATGACATAGTTCTACCTTTCCCACTCACTTCTAAGAGTTATGACATAGTTCTACCTTCCCCACTCACTCCTAAGTTATGACATAGTTCTACCTTCCCCACTCACTCCTAAGGCTTATGACATAGTTCTACCTTCCTCACTCACTCCTAAGGGTTATGACATAGTTCTACCTTCCTCACTCACTCCTAAGAGTTATGACATAGTTCTACCTTTCCCACTCACTTCTAAGAGTTATGACATAGTTCTACCTTCCCCACTCACTCCTAAGTTATGACATAGTTCTACCTTCCCCACTCACTCCTAAGGCTTATGACATAGTTCTACCTTCCTCACTCACTCCTAAGGGTTATGACATAGTTCTACCTTTCTCACTCACTCCTAAGGGTTATGACATAGTTCTACCTTCCCCACTCACTCCTAAGAGTTATGACATAGTTCTACCTTTCTCACTCACTCCTAAGAGTTATGACATAGTTCTACCTTCCCCACTCACTCCTAAGAGTTATGACATAGTTCTACCTTTCTCACTCACTCCTAAGAGTTATGACATAGTTCTACCTTCCCCACTCACTCCTAAGGGTTATGACATAGTTCTACCTTTCTCACTCACTCCTAAGAGTTATGACATAGTTCTACCTTCCCCACTCACTACTAAGAGTTATGACATAGTTCTACCTTTCTCACTCACTCCTAAGAGTTATGACATAGTTCTACCTTTCCCACTCACTTCTAAGAGTTATGACATAGTTCTACCTTCCCCACTCACTCCTAAGTTATGACATAGTTCTACCTTTCTCACTCACTCCTAAGAGTTATGACATAGTTCTACCTTCCCCACTCACTCCTAAGAGTTATGACATAGTTCTACCTTCCCCACTCACTCCTAAGAGTTATGACATAGTTCTACCTTTCCCACTCACTCCTAAGAGTTATGACATAGTTCTACCTTTCCCACTCACTCCTAAGAGTTATGACATAGTTCTACCTTTCTCACTCACTCCTAAGGGTTATGACATAGTTCTACCTTTCCCACTCACTCCTAAGTTATGACATAGTTCTACCTTTCCCACTCACTTCTAAGAGTTATGACATAGTTCTACCTTCCCCACTCACTCCTAAGAGTTATGACATAGTTCTACCTTCCCCACTCACTCCTAAGGCTTATGACGTAGTTCTACCTTTCTCACTCACTCCTAAGAGTTATGACATAGTTCTACCTTCCCCACTCACTCCTAAGAGTTATGACATAGTTCTACCTTCCCCACTCACTCCTAAGAGTTATGACATAGTTCTACCTTTCCCACTCACTCCGAAGAGTTAAGACATAGTTCTACCTTCCCCACTCACTCCTAAGGCTTATGACATAGTTCTACCTTTCTCACTCACTCCTAAGAGTTATGACATAGTTCTACCTTCCCCACTCACTCCTAAGAGTTATGACATAGTTCTACCTTCCCCACTCACTCCTAAGGCTTATGACATAGTTCTACCTTTCTCACTCACTCCTAAGAGTTATGACATAGTTCTACCTTCCCCACTCACTCCTAAGAGTTATGACATAGTTCTACCTTTCCCACTCACTCCTAAGAGTTATGACATAGTTCTACCTTCCTTATTGACTCCTAAGAGTTACACTTTACTAATGTCTCACCCACCATTCAATAAATAGAATAGAAAGTCACAGAATTCCAGAGCTAGAAAGGACACTCAAGGTTATCCAGGCCAGATGCCTGATGGAAAGGTTTCAGTGCGTTGCCTGTGGCGATGAGTCCCATCAGTGGGAGGCCTGATGGCACACTCTTTACAGTTTCCTCTGTGACAGGCAGGCACACCTGTCTGCAGAACCCGTAGCCTCTTTCCCATCCTCCCATCTGGACTGTGGACTCTCTTGACTATCCCCTCTCCACCTTCCTGAGGCCCAGGGGGAAGAAAGGGGGCAACCCCAAGCCAAAGAGGGTAAGCAGAAGGTCTCCTTTCTTACCACGAGGCTAGGAGTAGGGGACATGACAGCACGCCCTGCCCAGTCAGTCTGCCCGAAAGAGAGGCTGTGGCTCTTCCCTCCCCTGCCAGCCTGCCTTACTGGGTCAGGTGGGTTCTGCTGAATCCTCACCTAGAGGGGCCAACAGCTTTCATGTCATCAAGGTTGGCCTGGCATTTACGGCCAGGCTGGTCACGGATCTCCAGGGTGGGAAGGTGTGGATGGATGAGGCTGGGATGCCCGCTTCACCCAGTAGCTTTACTCCACATCAGTCAACACCAATATTTCCGACATTACTAAACCCTAGATCTAGACCAAGCTGTGTGCCATCATCAGCTGGATGTGGTCGGTCTGCAGACCTTGAGCATTTCTGCGGGATGTGGTCAATGAGGTCTCACCACCTGCTGCAATCACCTGGGTCAAGCTTCTCGGTCGGGGTGGACTCCAGATTCACACAGAGCTGCAGGGCCCTCCAAGTCTAGCCCACCTGACCTCGTGACAGCTCCGACTGGCCCCTCTGCCCCCAAATCTGGCCCACAGGCATCTGGCATCAGCTCCCACCCTCTCATCAGGCCTTTGCTTAAATATCACCTTGTCAAGGAGATCTCAGATTTGCTATTTCAAGCAGCAGAGAGAGTGAGGGAGGGATGGAGGGGGAACATAAGCTCTACCCACCCATTTGGACCTAAGTGCTCTGCACACGCTCACCTTCCTCTTGGGAGCACCCTCACCATGGCTCATGTGAGGAAGGCCTCTCATCCCAAAGACTCAGAAGCCCAGACCCTGCACTCTTCCCAAGCAGCCCTAATGTGCACGGCCAGCTGCAGACAGATCCGCCAAGTCAGGGCTGTAGGCCCCCAGCCCACGGGGAGCCCCCAGGACAGGCATTGAGCTCTCTACACACACACGACCTCAGGGCTGCAGTCTCTGACCTGAAAGCAGACTCTTAACCAGGGTGGAGAAGCTAACTGGAAAGCCACAGCACATGCATCACACAGGACTGCACCCCAAGGCCAGAGTCGCCTAGGGCAGCGGCAATGGCCCAAAGCACCAGGCTTCAGTCTGAGTCTACGTAAGTTTACAAAACCCCTCCCATTGTTTTTGGGTTCCCTGTTTGTGGTTTACTCCAATCAACTGCAGCACCTTCTAAGTTAAAAGCAATCTCAAATATCCTTGCACAAATGGAAGGTCTTTTGCCCAGATCTCAGTTGCCCTGCACTGGTATAAATACTCGGATGATTTAGTTAGTGACGAAGTGGAAGTGACCCTTATGTTTACACTGTAGTAGAGACCATGAAAGGATGGACTGCACGTGTTCAGTGGGGCCATCTGGAAGCTCCACATGACAGTGACTGCACGACTCGGTGGGGTTGAGTTTCTGCAGGTTAAGCTCATTCAAGGAAACATCTCAAGCAAATGTAAATCTAAATTCCTGGAGCTCTCTCAAAGATGGGCATTAAATTCATGGAGCTCTCTCTCAAGGATGGGCATTTCAAAAACATTCACCATCAATTCTCATCTACAGTCAGCAATACAGTGGACTCGCAATGTTTGCTGACTGTACAGACCCAAGAGGAAAGGACACGGTACTCAACAGATGTGCGGCCCCGCAGCCTCCATGCAGACTCCACCCGAGACAGACCCCAAAGGTCAACTGGATTCACACTGAAGACTTGCTGTGTTTTAGGGAATAATTTGAGCAGCTTGCGAAGTCTCTACACATTTTAGACGTTGTGAAAGTCACAGATATCATAAATCAAAGGCTGATTTGGATTTTAAGGGATTAAATGATAAATATTAGGTAATTTCAAAGTTTATAAAGTTTGGCTCTCAAAACTATACGGAATTTGAGCTCAAATACTGATGTGAAGTTCTCGATGTATTTAAATTCAGCACGATACATGCATTAAAACAGCATCTGTACAACATATGTAAAAAACAAAGGGTTGGGGCTATTTCCTACCTCACACTGTAATCCAAGTCACGGAAAATATCAGAATCCTATTACCTGAATGCAGCTATTGGTGAAACACTATAACCTGTCCTTTTTTCATGAGAACAATGGATCTTCCACATGTAAACTTTACAAGTACCTTCTAGCAAGTAAATTACAAAAACTGGATCTTGAGCAGAATGAACTGATAGAAAATGAATAAAGTGGCCAGATGCAGACAGGGCTAGCATCAACCATGGAAATTATTTGTCTTTATTTCACTAAATGATAAAAATTAGATGCATTGGTATATTTATCTGTTTATTTACTGGAACTATACAACCTTTCTGAAACAGAGGAAGGCAGTTATCAGCAAAAGCACAAGGTGAGAGGCAGTGCCATGCAGGTGGCCCAGCAGAGTGACCACTGGCCTTCTTACCTGGTCCCTGGTCTCTCCACGGCTGTCCCTGACTGGAACGGCTATACCCAGAGCCCGTCCTGTGGTAGCTGGAGCCCTGTCTTCCCCACCTCCCTGTGGGAACACATAGTCAGAAGATTAGTAAGTTGTCAAATGTCTTAACCCAAATGACACAGCATGTAAAGGGTGGCAAGGCAGCACCAGGTCAGCAGTATCCCCGTACTTAAATCAGAGGGAGGGTCATGAAAAAACGCAAATTTAAGGGTTGCATCCCCAGAGAACCCGGCTCAGGAGTGGAGTCACAGATCTGCGTGTTAAACCCTACCCCAGGAGAATCTGGTATTGGTGGTGAGAGGTCGGACTCTGCAAACAAAGACTTGAGCAGCCCAACCACTCCTCTTCCCTGGGGCCCCCTGGACCCATGCAGGCCATGGCGCCCATGACCAAGCCCATCCCTCTAGGGCCCTGGTTGAGGCATGGAGCAGCACTTCTGGGACTTGTGAGCTTCTCCCCATTCTCCACAAACTTCACTCACACACACTTTTCGTACTTTAAAATTTCCATAACTTCCCAGTCCATGACACCTTGTCCTGTTTGTCTCTACTAGAAGGCCTGATTACATACAAACTCATGTGATTTTTTAAAGGTATCGTGATAGTCCATGGTGCTCCACAAAGAAGGCCCAGGCCGTCCAGCCCTGCCATGGGTACTGTCCCTGCTCCACAGGTGCACTGGAAGCATCCGCGAGGTGGGCCACACTGTGACCAGGACTCCCAGTGCGTGACCACACATGCAGTGTGCAGGCCACCTGGGGCTTTAGCTATGAGGGAAGAGTGGCCTTGCAGGGTGTGCCTCCACCAGGCTGGTCCTCCCTGGACATGCTGCGGTGTCCACGGAGGCATGGCCTTGTGCTGACATGCTGCGGTGTCCACGGAGGCGTGGCCTCGTGCTGGCATGCTGCGGTGTCCACGGAGGCGTGGCCTCGTGCTGGCATGCTGCGGTGTCCACGGAGGCGTGGCCTTGTGCTGGCATGCTGCGGTGTCCACGGAGGCGTGGCCTTGTGCTGGCATGCTGCGGTGTCCACGGAGGCGTGGCCTTGTGCTGGCATGCTGCGGTGTCCACGGAGGCGTGGCCTTGTGCTGGCATGCTGCGGTGTCCACGGAGGCGTGGCCTTGTGCTGGCACATGCTCCTGGGCTGCCCTCAGGACCAACCCCCTTGTCTGGGGCCCAGATACAGGTCCTGAACTAACAGATTTCTCATCACATCACCTCAAAAAACTTCAAAACCTCCCCAGTATGAGGTGGGTAGAAAAGCCACGACTTGCCTGGCATTCAGCAGCCTCTGTGGTCTCTAAGGCTGACTCACCTTCCCCAGTGTCCTCCCATTGTGGTGTTTTACCCCAGTCTAGCTACTGAAAGTCCCCCAAGACCCACCTTCCTGCCGTGATGTCATCCCTTTGTGACTGCTGCCCTTGTCTCTGAGCTACTGGTCTGCAGGACTGGTGACATGCTCCTCACATCTGGCCAGGGTCAGCCCGTGTGTGCTCATCTTACACACGTGGTCTCCAGCTCACCTCCAGCATGAGCACTTGTGACCACACACTGAGAATAACAGGTGACTCCAAGCTTGGAGCAGTTGTGAGCTCACAGCTGTCAGCTTGGGTCCAGAGGCCAACACACCGAGTAGCTTGGTGTTGCAGTGGCCTGGCTGTGCGGCCCGTGGAAGCAGACAACGGCAGTCAGGACTGCAGGGCCCTACCACGTCCCTACAGCCCTTCCCCAACACAGGAGGTGCAAGCTCAGCATTACCCAAGAACATGGGGCTGGGGCCAAGCGGTGGAGGCTTCAGTCTAAGTTCTGCAACGAAGAATCAGCTTGGTTTTGGGTGAGCCATGTGGGGCATAAGGTTCTTCAGCAAAATGAGGGACTGAACCATAGAACCTTAAGTTGGATTTGTGAAGAAAATTACTTTGAGAACAAAAAAGGGAACAGTTTCCAAATCACGAAATGATCTTACTAATCTATCATAGCTCTTAAAATGTAGTTCGCCTCATTAATGGAATAATACAAAAGGAAAATGTAGTTTGCCTCATTAACTTGGAATAATATGACAGGACACTGATTTCTGCCCATTTGTATGCAGACTTCATTAGAAAATAGTCAAAATTTAGTTTCTATAAAAATTGTAAGTACCACTGTACCACACTGCATTAGACTAACAGGTCATCTTTAGTGCTCAAAATAAACTTGTCCTGCAGGACCTCATGGCCTCTGAAATGAAAGAGGAGTTTGGCCTGACAACCGCCACGCCTACTGCCACCTAAGCAGCAGCGTCCAGCATCTGCAGGTCTCTCAGCCGCTTGTCATGGCTTCGCTGACAACCTCAGTCTGGAGAGGAGAGGGAACCCTGCAGGACTGTGTATGCAGTGCAGACTTTTTTTTTTTTTTTTTTGTAAAGACAGGGTCTCGCTATGTTTCTCAGGCCAGTGTCAAACTCCTGGCCTTAAGTGATTCTCCCACCTCAGCCTGCCAAAGTGCTCAGATTACAGGTGTGTGCCCAGCCACGGCGCAAACTTCTGAGGACCTACTGCCAACCAGGTAAGGAAACAGGCAATGTGAGAGAGTATCACACATTTATTTTGCAATAAATCAACTTTGTTTTGGGGGTCTCAATCTCTGTCTATCTATAGTTGGTGGCAGAAAGTCAAAAGATGGAGAAAAGGATTGGGAACAGTAGAAAAAGCAGCCTTCCCTCTCATGGTTGGACATGGCTCCACACACCCTGGCTGCTCTCCCTTCATGGGGTGCTACGCACGACACCTGGTGGGATCTGGGTGCATCTGAGGCGGCTACTCCCCCCATGACACGAAACCTCTGAGAATGGTATTTGCAAGGCTGACACCAAGTAGTTCTCCTAGAGATAGTCTGGGTGGATAAGAATCTGGGCTGAGTTCTCCTATTCCATCAAGAAAAATAATGGGACTGCAGTAGTTACAGGTGTAAACATGAACTGAAGGAGGGCATGAAAGAATAATTAAAAAGTCTCATTAACAAAATAAACTAATAAGATATCTAACTTCACTGACAGACAAAGCAGCATTCAATCAATGAGATAGATTTTTCATCTACCAAATTGGTTTTTGAAAACCAGCGGATCACGAGGTCAAGAGATTGAGACAATCCTGGCCAACATGGTGAAACCCCTTCTGTACTAAAAATACAAAAATTAGCCGGGCGTGGTGGCACAAGCCTGTAGTCCCAGCTGCTCGGGAGGCTGAGGCAAGAGAATCGCTTGAACTCGGGAGGCGGAGGTTGCAGTGAGCCGAGATCGAGCCACTGCACTCCAGCCTGGGCAACAAGAGTGAAACTCCATCTCAAAAAAACAAAAAGCAAAAAACCCCCAGACTTTTAGAAGTGTCAAGGGTACCCTGAAACGGAAACTCTTGCTCACTGCTGGAGAAGGTATTCAGTGATCATTTACCTAAAATTGATTACATTTCAATCTATGATTCCACAGACAATGATATTCTGTTTGAAGAAAATAATAATAATACACATACAAGCATTAGGAGTAATGAGAAAAAAATGGAAATACCCTCAGAGCTCCAAACAGGGGAACAAGCTATGTAGTAGTGGAAGATTCTGTGGCCGTTGTTTAAGAAGAACGGTGTTAACGCCCTAAGTTAAGTGCTAAGTGGGAAAGCAGGATGCAAACTGCATGGAGTGTACTCACAATGAGATGCAAACACAGAAAACCTTGGCAGAAGCTCGTTGTCTTTATGTGATAGAATTAAAGGCCATGTATATTTCCTTTTTAATTACTTTCTTTATACTCATTTTTTATAATATACTTTTATCATAAGAAAAAATAAACCTAAACTCTTGTCAAATAAACAAACATTACCTAAGCAGCCGTTCCACTTTGGGGAACCCTAGAAAGGAGGTTACACATGCAGAGAAAGAGTTCTTCATTATTTAATTAATGAGCGAATCCTTTCTGAGAAATTTTCCTGCTGGGACCAGAATTTAAACCACTGGGTAGAGATTTTAATACTTTTTTTTTTTTGAGATGGAGTCTCGATCTGTCACCCAGACTGGAGTGCAGTGACGTGATCTTGGCTCACTGCAACCTCCACCTCCCAGGTTCAAGTGATCCTCCTTCCTCAGCCTCCCAAGTAGCTGGGATTACAGGCGCCCGCCAACACGCCCGGTTCATTTTTGTATTTTTAGTAGAGACGGGGTTTCACCATGTGGGCCAGGCTGGTCTTGAATTCCTGACCTCAAGTGATCTGCCTGCCTCGGCCTCCCAAAGTGCTGAGATTACAGGCGTGAGCCACCGCACCCGGCCCTATCATTTAAATTCTATTCTGTTCATCCAATTATATCAGCCTCTTCTTAGAATTCATTTATCAACAAAACTCAGGAAGCAGTTAGGGTCTACGCTTGTGGGGCTTCTAGAGGCACCTGGCCCTTTCCCACCTGCGTGGTGTGAGCCCCAGTGGGCTCGGCCAGTGATGCGTCTGTTCTCCTTCATGCAGGCCTTGCAGACGACTGCCTTCAGGTTGTGGAATTTGGTGAGCCGAGATCTCTGCAAACAGACCAGATGCAAATGAGATGTGAGGGGCCAGATGTGGCAAAGTAGGGCCAGATGTGGCTGGAAGGAAGCTTAGGGGACACCCTTCCACACTGTTCCCAAGGCGAGGCAGCAATGGTGGCTGCACCCTCCTCCCAGACATGAACCGCAGCACAGTTCTCCTTCAGCATGACCACATCCCAAGAGGTTCTTCGAGAACATATTCTCCTAAATCCCCCAGAAAAAGAACACCAAGCAGCTTCTGTAGGTTAAACAATCATTTCTAAAAAAGAATCTTCAAGTCCTATTACGACAATTTAGGTGATTACCACACAATCTTACCTTAAAAAGTGTTTGGATTTAATATATCTTAATCTTTCGATTCTTAATTATAAGAACATTCCGCAGAAATGCCAACGTCAGAAAAAAAACAAAAAACAAAAAACAAAACAACATCAGCAGATCAAGAAATGGAACATGGAACATTCAACCTTTCCTTCAAGCTTCCTGTTTTATTGTTGAATATTCTATCCTATACTTTTTTTTTTCCCCAAACTAGAACGTATAATCACTTGGAACTTGGTCAAGAGATTGGATAAAGAAAGGAAAAGATCCTTGATGGAATGACTTACAGGCTACACTAAGGCTACTTTACCTTTCATTTCTACAGTCTACTTTCCAATACTTATTGGCTTATTAGAAGCACATTTCTCCTCTTGTTCTGCTTTTGCTCTCTATAAAATTCAGGCTGCTTCTAAGTTCTAAATACTTGCAGTCCTATGCCACTCTGGAATCTGTGTGTGTGTATGTGAGGAACAGTGATGGCAACACATTACCAAATGTGTTCTCTCCGCTATGAAAGCTTGGAGTGCTTTATCGTGACAGACCGGTATGCTCTCTCACGGATCACACCGCTTTTCTCATCCCTGCGGGTATTAAAACACATTCCAAATGAGCTTGGCTTGAGGCCTTACTTGGAAATCTTCCAGGAGTCATGTAGCGATTGTATTTATTAAGCTGGACAGCAGCCAGCGTCCCCAACTAAATTGGCAGCCTTTGGGGAGTATTTTCAAGTAATAAATCATAACTACACCTATCAGATTAGTCTGATATCTGTGGGGCACTTTTGCAGGGAGTATTAGTTCCTCATTAAAAAATAGGGAGAGGGGCTGGTCGCGGTGGCTCACACCTGTAATCCCAGCACTTTGGGAGGCTGAGGCAGACGGATCACTTTGAGCCCAGGAGTTCAAGACCAGCCTGGGCAACGTGGAAAAACCTCACCTCTACAGAAAATACAAAAATTAGCTGGGCATGGTGATGCGCGCCTGCAGTCCTGGCTACTCAGAAGGCTGAGGAGGGAGGATCACTTGAGCCCAGGAGGTGGAAGTTTGCAGTTAGTGGAGATTGCACCACTGCATTCCAGGCTGGGCAACAGAGCAAGACCCTGTCTCAAAAAAAAAAAGTATGTGTATTACATATATGTGTGCGTGTGTGTGTGTGAGAAATGGGGAGAGGAGTGAAAAGCACTTCAAAAATTAAAAATGTGTCAGACTGGGTGTGATACTGCTCGCCCTACCTAACCATAAGTTTGGGAGTCCTGAACCCTATTTAAGAATTCTGGAAGAAGCTACAGGTTGAGCACTCCTAATCTGAAAATCCAAAATCTAAAACTGCTATAAGTGGAAAATTCCACACCTGGTCTCATGTGATGGATGCAGTGAAAACACTGTTCCATGCACGTCATTAATAATACTGTATAAAATTACTTTCGGGCTATTGTATAAGGAGTATATGAGACATACATGAACTTTGTGTTTAGATTTGGGTCTCAGCCCCAAGATATCTCATTATGTATGTACAGCTGACCCTTGAACAACATGGGTTTGAACTGCATAGATCACTTACACTCGAATCTTCTTCTGCCTCTGCCACGCCTGAGGCAGCAAGACCCACCCCTCTTCCTCCTTCTCAGCCCACTCAATGTGAGGATGATCACCTCCATTTAATGGACAGTAAATATAGTTCTCTCTTATGATTTTCTTAATCACATTTTCTTTTCTCTAGCTCACTTACTTTATTGTAAGAATACAGTATATAATACATATATAATACAAATGATGTGTTAATTGACGGCTTATGTTATTGGTTAAGGCTTCTGGTCAACAGTAGGCTCTTTGTAGTAACGTTTTGGGGGAGTCAAAAATTATATACAGGTTTTCCACTGCAGAAGGATTTGGAGCCCTTAACCCTTGCATTGTTCAAGGATCAACTGTATATGCAAACATTCCAAAATTCCAAAAACATTCAAAATCCAAAACACTTCTGGTCCTAAGTATTTCAGATAAGGGATATTCAGCCTGTATTAGTTATGTTGATGCAGAAGCCTAATGCTTCAAATCATGTGTTCCTGGTTTAACGGAATCCTTTATTTGGAAAGCATTAATTTGAAAAATGCAACAGCCGACTTCATGTTTTTTGTGCAGCCTGGAGCTACAGGGATGTTTCTGGTGAAAGGTAGGTGTCTGTGAACTCACATTTTGTTCTAAAAGAACCTCCACAGCATAACCCTTTTCAGATTGCAAGTACTTCTGATGAAAAAGCTTCCCGTCAAATACATTCCAGGGCATGAAATCACTCGTCTTCCAGGGGAAGCCACATGCGCTGTTGACTAAAACCAGAGTGGTGAGGCCGCGGACGAGAAGGGAGCCCAGCTGCACGGCTCTGGGGTTGATGTAATCAGGCTGTGGAGACCAGAACACACACCAAAAATGTAAGACAGGAGTCACACATGCAGGAAACAGATCTCAGCTCTGCAAAGTTACTCTGCTCAGAACGGATGCTCACTCAGTAACTGGACAGCATCACCATAGCTGCATCCTCAAAGCTGAGCTTCACCAGCTCTACTGATTACAGAGGACTTGGAAACAACCTCAGCTGACAGAAATGAGGGTGCCTCTACAGTCAGAGTGTGTCTTCATCCATCCACCCATCCATTCAAACCTCAGACACTTACTCAGGCCTGCTCCACATACAGAGGCAGTGAGCACAGTGTCTCTTGCCTCCCAGGAACCTCTAGGCCGAGAACAGAAACGGTGAAAACTGTGGTCCACTAGGAAAAAGCTCACATGATCATTCACTTCTGGGTGCATTCTTTCCTGAACAACTTTCTTCAAAGGCAAAGGGACAGACAGGGAAGCCAAAAGAGTATCATTTTAGACACTATTAAGTTTATTGTATTTAAAAATCATAATTGTTGTAATTATGAGTATTTGTTATGAAAGATCTAACTTTAAATGAACACTTATCATTTAAGAATAAAATGGCTTATGTATCTCACTAGGTTGATAGGCTGATAATCTTTGCAAATTAAGACCATACCAATATGAAATATTTCTTTTCACTGTCAAATTTACCTTGATGTCCAACATTCTGTTCTCAAACGGGGAAGCTATCCTAAGATGCTGCAGAGGGTTCCTGCATTTAGCGAGGATGCTGCATGAGATACTCTCTACCTCCTGGCTGACACTGGCCCCATGGAAAGTGATACCGATATCTAGCGAGTGTCCACATGAGTCCGTAAATGAGGTAAGTGAAACTGAATCCGTCATTGTCTGGCTTATCTATGTAGCTCAAATTAACCAAGAGTTATTTTAAATAAAACTAAAATAAATTAGGAAAAAAGTAACAGATATTTTAGCTCCTTTAGAAGTTAAGGCTTCACTTACTAAAATAGAAGAACCTTGCTCACCACTGTAAGAAACGTATCATGAACTGAGATTATCCGAGAGTTAATCTAGGTTTAATCAAAATGATTTTTGTTGCACAGCACTACTATACCCTAAAATAGTGCTGTGCGACACTTTTTATTCTACAAAATTATCCAAAACAACACTCGTTTTTAAAAAGAGCAACCATTACACACGTACACAGGGCTGAGCAGATGCTAACAGGACGTGTTAGTGAGAAGTGTATTTCCTACAGAAGCCTGAAGGTGACTGCCATGAACAGGTACTGAATTTAATCAAGTATTTTTTTAGCATCCATTATATCCTTTTTCTTATTCATTGTTATTTACAATGGTTTTCAAATGTTAAATCAATATTGCATTCCAAAAATAAACCCAACTTGGTCATCATGTATTATTGGTTTTACATATTGCTGGATTTGATTTGTTAGTATTTTGTTTGGAAGCTTTATTTTCATGAAACAGAATGGCCTAAATTTCTATTTCTTGTGATGTCTTTGTTAGATTTTTGCATCAGGATTTTGCTGGACTTAGAGAAACAGTTGGAAAGCCTTCCTTCTTCTTCTGCTCTCTGGAAGAAAGGGCGTAGCACAGCTGCTGGTTCCTCCTTCGGTGTCTGGAAAAACTCACAGGGAAGCCCTCTGATCCTGAGGTTTCCTTGTGGGCAGAGTTTTCATTTCAGATTCAATGTCTTCAGTAGACATGGAACCATTCAAGGTTTCTAGTTTTCTATTTCTTCATACTTCAGTCTTATTAGGTTGTATTTTTCAAGGAATGTGTTCATTTTACCTGAAATTTTCATGGCACGCATTTTACTTGAAGTTTCAAATGTATTGGTATAAATATTCCCTCATCTCTTTAGTCTGCATTATCTATGTATACAGATGTCCCTTTTTCATGCTGTATACTGGCAATTTGTGCTTTCTGCTTTTCTTCATCAATTTAGTAACAGGTTTATCAGTTTTATTCATCTTTTCAAATTAACTTAAAAAAAAGGACTTTATGTTTTTAGAACAGTTTTAGGTTCACAGCAAAATTGAGAGGAAGGTACAGAGATTTCCCACATACCCTCTGCTTCTCTACAGATCAGTGCCTCCACCCGCCAATCCCTGGAGGACACATTTGTTACAATCGGCAAACCCACACTGACATGTCCCTCAAGTCCACAGTTGACACGAGGGTTCACTCTTGGTGGTGTACATTCTGCGAGTTTGGACAAATGTGTAATGACCTGGAGCCACCATGAGAGCATCATCTGGAGCAGGCACACTGCCCTAAAGCCCTCCCGCCTGCCTGCTCAGCCTCCCTCCCCTGAGCCCCTGGCAAGCACTCATCTTTCTACTGTTTCCATAGTTCTCCCTTTTCCAGTCTTCCTATAGCTGGAATCAGACAGTAGGCAGCTTTTTCAGATTGGCTTCTGTCACTTAGTAACATGCATTTAAGTTTCCTCCATGTCTTTTCATAGCTTGATAGACGTATTTTTAGTACTGAATAACATTCCACTGTCTGGATGGACCACAGTTCGTTCATCTAATCACCCACTGAAGGACATCTTGGCTGCTTCCAAGTTTTGGTAGTTATGAATAGGGTTGCCGAAACTTCTATGTACAGGTTGTGGTGTGGCTGCAGCAAGGGGCGCAGCTACTGGACTGTGTGTTAAGACCTGTTTAGCTTTGTTAAGAAACCACCTCATGGCCATCCAGAGTGGCTGCACCACTTTGAATTCCCACCAGCAAGGAGGGAGAACTCCTGCGAATGACATAAAAAAAACCTTTCTCTATTCTCCATTTGTTTCCTATTTCACTAGTTCCTGCTTTTACTATTTCCTTCCTACCTACCACACTCCCTGAGTTTGATTTTTTATTAATTTATAGAGATGTATACTTAGATCATTGATTTTCAGCCTTTTTTTTAAAGTATATTCATTTAATTCTACAAATTTCCTTCTCAGAACAGCTTTCAGCTTCATCCCACACATTTTTTATGGACAATATTTTCACTGTCATTCAAAATATTTTATAATGCCCACTGTGGTTTCTGCTTTTTCCCTGTGAATTATTTAGAAGTGTACTATTTTAATTTCAAATAACAGAATTTTTACTTATTGTTATTACTGATTTCTAGCTTACTGTGGACAGAAAAAAGAGGGATGCTTTCAATTGTTTGAAATTTGCTGAAGCTTGCTTTATGAGCTGTCATCTAGTCAATTCTGGTAGATTTCCCATATGCACTGGAGAAGTGTTTACTCTATAGCTTTTGGGTGCAGGATTCTATATGTCCGTTAGGGTGAGTGTGTTCACTGTGTTCAAAATGTGTTCAACAATTCGAATCCATACTAACCTTCTGTCTGTTTGTCCTATCAGCTCTTGAGAGAGGCTTTGTTAAAGCTCCATAGACTTCCTCTGCAGGGGCCAGACAGTGAAGAGTTTAGGCTTCACTGGCCCCCTACAGTTTCTGTTAGATATTCTTTTTTAAACCAACCCTTTAAAAACTCCAAAAAGCATTCTTAGCTCACAGACCCACACAAAAGCAGGCCAAAGGCCAGACTTGGCCTACTGGCTACAGTTTGTGGACCCCTGTGCTCACACGTCCCACTGTGATTACAGATATGTCTGCTTCGTTTTTCAGTTGTGTCAGTTTTCATCTGATGCATCTGGAAACTGTGCATACTAACTTACAGATCTAGAGAATCCGGAAATAATCCTGGGGCGCTGACCTTTCTTCTCAAATGTCCCTTCTTCCTCTCATGGCCATTTCTACCTGAAGTCCACTTCTGATGCAGGCGCACTGGTTTCTTTGGGTTAGCAGCTGCACGGAACAGCTTTTTCTGTCCTAAAACTTTTAATTTCCCAGTGTCCCTGAGACCTTAGGTATCTGTTTGGTTGGTGATTTATTTTTTAATTTTTATTTTGAAACGACTATAGATTCACAGGAATTGACAAAGATAGGATAGAGGGCCCCATGTATCCTTCACCAAGGGTAACATCTGACATACTACAGGGCAATATCCAAACCAGGAAGCTGGCATCAGTGCCATCCACAATCCTTATTCAGGTTCTAGGCAATTTCAAAACCTGGTGGGTTTGTGTAGCCCCTGCCACTACCATCAAGAAACAAAACTGTCTCTCCACATAAGACCTCCCTTGTGCTGTCCCAAATCCCTGGCAACTTAATCTGTTATCCATCTCTTTATCCTGTCATTTTCAGAATGTAACATAAATAGAATCATGTAATATGTGACCTTTTGGGATTGGCTTTTTTACTCAGTATAATTCCCTTGAGATCCATTCAGGTGGTTCCAAGCGTCAGCCACTCACCAAGCGCCAGCCACTCATTCCTCTTTATTGCCGAGTTGTGCTTCATGGCATGGATGCACCAGCCTGTTAAACATTCGTCCATTTAAAGACATCTGGGTTGCTTCCAACCTGTGCTACTACAAATACAGCTGCTATGAATATTCATGCACAGGTTTTTGAATGAACCTAAGTTTTCATGCCCAGGCATGTGATTGCTAGTTCAGATGGTAAGTGCATTATTAGTTTTTTAAGAAACGGCCAAACTGTTTTCCAGAGTGACCGACACCAGCCATGTAAGAGGCTAGTGTATAAGGACTGCATCCTCGCCAGAATTTGGTGGTGTCACTATTTTATTTTTAATTTTAGCTGCTCTAATCCGTGTGTAGTGCTATCTCACTGTGGTTTTAATTTGCATTTCCCTAATGGTTAATTATGTTGAACAACTTTTCATGTACTTATTTACCATCTGAATGTCTTTGGTAAAATGTCTATCTTTGGCCTACTTTCTAACTGGATTGTTTTTAATGTTGAGTTCTGAGATTCTTTATATTTTCTAGGTATAAGATCTCTGTCAGACAGGAGGTTTGCAAGTATTTTCTCCCTGGCAGTAGGTTGTCTTTTCCTTATCCTAATAGAGCGACATTTTTAATTTTGAATTTAAAATGTTGAATTAAAAATGTTTCCAATTTATCAACTTTTCCTTTTATAGATTATGCTTTTGGTATGAAGTCTAAGAACTCTTTGCCTGACCCTAGATACCAAAGATCTTCTATTTTTTTCCCAAAAGTGTAATAGTTTTATGTTTTACAGTTAATTTCATTTTCCATTTGAGTTAATTTTACAAAAGTGTGAGGCCAAAGACAAGGTCCTTTTTTTTTTTTTTTTCTTTTTTTGGCTTATGGGTATCCAGTGCTCCAGTCACATTGGCTAAATAGGCTGCCTTCCTCCAATGAGTTGCTTTTGCACCTTGTCCAAATCCACTGGTGGTACTTGTGTGGGTCTATGTCTGGGTTCTCTATTCTGTTTCATTGACCTTGTGTCTGTCCCTTCACCAACACTATACTGTCTTGATTACTGCAGTTATATAGCAAGGTATGTTATCAAATACAGTGATTCTGCCCATTTTCTTTTTCTTTTTCAAGATTATTTTCGTGACTTTTAGTTTCACTGCCCTTCCATACAAATTTTAGAATAATCTTGCGCATCTACAAAAAAATACCTTGCTGGGATTTTTGCTAGCAAGTACATCAAACCTGTACATCAGTCTGGAGGGAACCCACGTCTCTGCTGAGCCTTCCAGTACATGAACACGGTATGTGTCTCCACTTCTTTGGGTTTGCTTTGATTTATCAGTATTTTGCAATTTTTAGCATACAGATCCTGTATATGTTTATTTAATTTATGCCCAGGTAATTCATTTTTGTGAAACAATTGTTAAGTGGTACTATCTTTTAAATTTAGGTTTCCATATGTTCATTAATAGTATATAGAAATGCAAGTGATTTTTGGTATATAGGTCTTGTAGCTTGAGGCCTTGCTGAACTCTCACTAGATCTAGTTTGTTTTTGTTTGTTTTTTAAAGACAGGGTCTCACTCGGTTGCCCAGGCTGGAGTATGGTGATGTGATCATGGATCACCAGAGCCCTGACCTCTCTGGCTCAAACAATCCCTCCCAGCTCAGCTCCCTGAGTAGCTAATACATCCAGCTAATTTTTCAATTTTTTGTAGAGATGGGGGTCTTACTATGTTGCGCAGGCTGGTCTTGAACTTCTTGGTTTAGGTAATCCTCTTAATTCAGCCTCCCAAAGTGCTGGGATTACAGGCATGAGCCACCACACCCCACCTAGCTCTAGTTTTTTTTGTAGATTCCTTGGGATTTTTTATTTAGAGAATCATGTCATTTGCAAATAGAGACAGTTTTGTTTCCTTCTTTTTGTCTGCATGCTTTTTATTTCCTTTTCTTTCCTCACTGCACTAGACAGAACTTCCAGCACTATGTTGAATAAGAGTGGTGAGGACAGACATCTCTGTCCCTAATATCCCTGATACTGGAGAAAAGCAATTAGTCTTTTACTATTATGTGTTACATTGGCTGTAGGGGCTTTTGTAGATGTTCTTTATCAAGTTGAGAAAGATCTCCTCCATTATCATTTTTCTGAAAGTTTTTTTTTTTTTTAACCATGAATGGGCACTGAATTTTGTCAAATCCTTTTTCTGAATGATTCATATGATCATGTGACTTTTCTTCCTTAATCTATTAATATGGAGGGTTTCACTGACTGATTTTTAAGTACTAAACCAGCCACTTGGTCATAGTGTATAATTAATTGCTGGATTTGATTCACTCATATTTTGTTCAAGATTTTTGTACCTACATTCAAAAGGGATAATGGCCTGTAGTTTTCTATTTTGCACTATTTTTTTTTTGTCTGGTTTGGGTGTCAGGGTAATACTGGCCTCACTGGGGAATGGTCTATCTTCTTGTATTTTCTGGAAGAGAATGTAGAACTAGCATTAATTCTTCTTTAAACATATGGTAAATTACCGAGTGACACCTCTGGGCTAGAGACCTCTTTTGAGGGGAGTTTGCAAACTACGGATTCAATTTCTTTAACAGTTATGAAGTTCTTTAAAGAACCTGTTTGGTATTGGGGGGTTGTGGTCACCTGTGCTTTTCTGAGATTTGGCCCCTACATCTAAGTTGTTGAATGCATGTGTGTAGAGTTGTTTATGGTGCTTCCCTTTCTTCTTAGAAGGGTCTATAGTAATATCCCCTGCCTTATCCCTAGTAGTACTAATTTGTGTTTTCTTACTTCTTGACAGGCAAACACATCAGAGCATAAGTGGTTCCTAATGCCAAGCTGACCTCCCTTGATCTCTGTCTTCTACAGGATATTGACATGGGACTTCTTTATTACCTTTTCAGTTCACTGATACCTTCAAATAGCTTTATTTAAAAAATGTTTTGCTAGCTTTTCTATTTGTCTTCAACCAGAAAGTGAGTCCAAATTATCTCAGTCTTCTATTCCTGGAGGCAGCTCCAAAATTGTTTCTCTCTATAGCTCAATTTTGGAGTGTGACCCCCCAAGGCTCAGGCAAGAAAAGCAAAAATAAACAAGTGGGACTACCTCACATAGCAAAGCTTAGCTGAACAGCAAAGTGACCAATGAAGTAAATGAAAAGGCAGTCTATGGACTGGGAGAAAATATTTGCAAACCATGCATCTAGTAAGGGGCTAACATCCAAAATATGTAAGGAACTCACACAACTCGACAGCAAAAAACAAATAACCCAATTAAAACATGGGCAAAGGACACGAATAGACATTTCTCTAAAGACAGTACACAAATGGTCAGCAGGCATACGCAAGGTGTCCGACACTAATCACCAGGGAGAAGCAAATCAAACCCACGGTGTGAAATCACCTCACCACGTCCTAGGATGACTATCATCTAAAAAGACAAGAGATAAGTGCTGGTGAGGATGTGGAGAAAGGGGAACCCTTGTACACTGTTGGTGGGCATGTAAATTGGCACAGCCATTATAGAAAACAGTATGGAGGTTCCTCAAAAGCCTAAAAATAGAGCTACCATATGACCCAGCAATCTCACTTGTAGTTATAGACCCAAAGCAACTGAAATCAGTATGTTGATGAGATACCTGCACCCATGTTTCCTGCAGCACTCTATACAACAGCCAAAGCACAGAACCAACCTAAGCATCTATCAACTGATGAATGGATAAAGAAAACAGTACATATTCGAAATGGAATACTGTTCAGCTACTAAAAAAAAAAGAAAAAAAATCCTGTCATGTTGTAACAACACGGATGGAAGTGCAGAACACTATGTTAAGTGAAATAAGTCAGGCAAAGTCAGACAAATACTGCACAATCTCACCTGCATGTGGAATCTTGAAAACGCCAAATACATATAAACAGACGGCAGAACGGGAGTTACTGGGTGAGGGAGGAAATGGGAAGAAGTGAGTCCAAGGACAGAGTTGCAGTTATGTGGGATGAATGGGTCTGGAGAGATCTAATGCATGGCACGAGGACTAGAGTTAATAACACTCTACTGTATACCGAAAATCTGCCTAGAGGGTAGACTTTAGGTGCTTTTACCACACACACATACACAAAAGGTGATGGATAGGTTAATTTGGAAAAACAAACAAACAAAATCTCTTTTGTATTATCAATCTTTATGGCAGCCTGAGGAAGCCTACGAACACTTTCTTAGAACAACAGTTAATGTGTATAATAAAATACACGGATTTATAAAGAAATTAATTATGAGACAGTTTTCAAAATAATATAAAAATCAAATGTAAGATACAGTAATTTAACCCCCTTTTTATATAGGTTGAACACCCCATTCTAAAAATACAGAATCTGAAATACTCCCAAATCCAAAACTTTTTGAACACTGACATGACGCTGAAACAAAATACTCACTGGAGCTTTTCGGATTTCAGGTTTTTGGATTAGAGATGCTCAACTGGTAAGTATAATGAAATATTCAGAAATCTGAAACACTTCTGGTCCCAAGCACTTTGGCTAAGACATACTCAACCTGTAAAAACTGTACCTAAGACCTAGCAATGGGTCTAATAATCACAGTTTTGAGAAAATGATAAGAGTAAACAATATATGAGGACTTCTCCAACTGTAATGAAAATATCTGATTTCTATTGGTAACAAAATCACAGGTGCTGTATTATTACTGTTTTATTGACTATATCATAAAGGAAATGATAAACTTCAGTTAGAAGTTAGTGAAAACACAGGTATATTTTTTCCTGTCTCAGACCACAGATCCCCACTAAAGGACCCCTGCACTATAGCCTAGTTTTAACAGAGCCAGCAGGCTGATCCTTCCAAAAGGTGAGTTGGGTCATGTCATTCCTTCGTTCCATGTCTTGAGCAAGGTTCCCATTTCCCTCAGCATAAACGCCAGAGAAACCCCTCACCAAGGCTGCCTGGGCCCATGGCTCCGGCCCCGTCCCTTGCTCCTCCTGATTTGCCTGACACAGGCACACCCCCACCCTTGGCACTGGCCATCTACTTAGCACGCTCTTCTCACAGAAAGCTGAATAGTTAATTCTCTTATTTTTTCAAGTCTTAGCTCAAATAGCCCCTTTTTAATGTGGCCAAATAAAGGTGCAGCCCACCCTGCCCACAACCGGAAGCTCGGGGCTCAGGTGCAGCCCACCCCGCCCACAACCAGGAGCTCAGGGCTCAGCCCTGCTTCTCTGCTTTCTAGGGCACTGGCTGCCCCTTTGCAGGCCCGTCTACGCCACCGCTTCCTGGTTCTGCTTCCTGCTTCCTGTCCATTTCCCCTGCTAGAATGTGGTTCTGCTTCCTGCCTCCTGTCTCTTCCCCCCCTAGGCTGCAGATCTGACAAGGGTTGGCGTCTCTCACTGATACCCATTCTCTTCACAGAGTCTGGCATAGAATAGGCGCTCAACGTATTTTTTTACTGTTTTCAACAAACGGAATGAACTGACAATAAACTTTACTGTGGGACATGAACGGAAACAAGTCCTCAGGGAGGGGTGATGGTGAAGAGGACTCTGAGTTACACATCCTTCTAGCGGGTGGCAGGGTGTGTGCCAGGTGTCCACAGGTCAAGCCCAAATCAAAAGCCTTGGGCTCTCAAGTCTCAAGCTCCTCTTAGAAACTGCTCGGGGTTAAAGAATCCTTATAGAAAGAAAACTTAGATCAGATGTGCTACAGCTATTCTGGGTATGCTAAAGATTAATAAATAAATAAATAAATGGCAAGAGCGTTCTTTCAACACCTGGGCTGTGATCTCTGATGGAAGTCTGCAGTGTGTGAACCAAGGAAAATTCCACAGACAGAAATGAGCATTTTATGGCAACTCTATCAGGTATTAAATATAAACTCTAAACCAAGAAACAAACATTAAGCTGGTAAAAAGGTCATAGCTTGAAAGGGCTGACTGACTCAAAACATAAACATTTCCCTTTTGGTTTCAACTTCTTCAGTTAACTGCTCTGTTCTAAGGGTTTCTCTGCCATCCAGAATGAATGGTGCTCTCCCAGGCATCTGGGATTAGGGACGCGTGTGCACAGCACCGAGCAGCGTGAGCCTGTGTTCTCCCGGGCGTCTGGGTTTAGGGACGCGTGTGCACAGCAGAGAGCAGCGTGAGCCTGTGTTCTCCCAGGCGTCTGGGATTAGGGACGCGTGTGCACAGCACCGAGCAGCGTGAGCCTGTGTTCTCCCGGGCGTCTGGGATTAGGGACGCGTGTGCACAGCACCGAGCAGCGTGAGCCTGTGTTCTCCCGGGCGTCTGGGTTTAGGGACGCGTGTGCACAGCACCGAGCAGCGTGAGCCTGTGTTCTCCCGGGCGTCTGGGTTTAGGGACGCGTGTGCACAGCACCGAGCAGCGTGAGCCTGTGTTCTCCCGGGCGTCTGGGATCAGGGACGCGTGTGCACAGCACCGAGCAGCGTGAGCCTGTGTTCTCCCGGGCGTCTGGGATCAGGGACGCGTGTGCACAGCACCGAGCAGCGTGAGCCTGTGTTCTCCCGGGCGTCTGGGATCAGGGACGCGTGTGCACAGCACCGAGCAGCGTGAGCCTGTGTTCTCCCGGGCGTCTGGGTTTAGGGACGCGTGTGCACAGCACCGAGCAGCGTGAGCCTGTGTTCTCCCGGGCGTCTGGGATTAGGGACGCGTGTGCACAGCACCGAGCAGCGTAAGCCTGTGTTCTCCCGGGCGTCTGGGATTAGGGACGCGTGTGCACAGCACCGAGCAGCGTGAGCCTGTGTTCTCCCGGGCGTCTGGGTTCAGGGACGCGTGTGCACAGCACCGAGCAGCGTGAGCCTGTGTTCTCCCGGGCGTCTGGGTTCAGGGACGCGTGTGCACAGCACCGAGCAGCGTGAGCCTGTGTTCTCCCGGGCGTCTGGGTTCAGGGACGCGTGTGCACAGCACCGAGCAGCGTGAGCCTGTGTTCTCCCGGGCGTCTGGGTTCAGGGACGCGTGTGCACAGCACCGAGCAGCGTGAGCCTGTGTTCTCCCGGGCGTCTGGGATCAGGGACGCGTGTGCACAGCACCGAGCAGCGTGAGCCTGTGTTCTCCCGGGCGTCTGGGATCAGGGACGCGTGTGCACAGCACCGAGCAGCGTGAGCCTGTGTTCTCCCGGGCGTCTGGGATCAGGGACGCGTGTGCACAGCACCGAGCAGCGTGAGCCTGTGTTCTCCCGGGCGTCTGGGATCAGGGACGCGTGTGCACAGCACCGAGCAGCGTGAGCCTGTGTTCTCCCGGGCGTCTGGGATCAGGGACGCGTGTGCACAGCACCGAGCAGCGTGAGCCTGTGTTCTCCCGGGCGTCTGGGTTTAGGGACGCGTGTGCACAGCACCGAGCAGCGTGAGCCTGTGTTCTCCCGGGCGTCTGGGTTTAGGGACGCGTGTGCACAGCACCGAGCAGCGTGAGCCTGTGTTCTCCCGGGCGTCTGGGTTTAGGGACGCGTGTGCACAGCACCGAGCAGCGTGAGCCTGTGTTCTCCCGGGCGTCTGGGTTTAGGGACGCGTGTGCACAGCACCGAGCAGCGTGAGCCTGTGTTCTCCCGGGCGTCTGGGATTAGGGACGCGTGTGCACAGCACCGAGCAGCGTGAGCCTGTGTTCTCCCGGGCGTCTGGGATTAGGGACGCGTGTGCCCAGCACCGAGCAGCGTGAGCCTGTGTTCTCCCGGGCGTCTGGGTTTAGGGACGGACGAATCTCTGAATCGCTCAGGCCCACAGCACCGAGGCAGCGTGAGCCTGTGTTCTCCCGGGCGTCTGGGTTTAGGGACGCGTGTGCACAGCACCGAGCAGCGTGAGCCTGTGTTCTCCCGGGCGTCTGGGATCAGGGACGCGTGTGCACAGCACCGAGCAGCGTGAGCCTGTGTTCTCCCGGGCGTCTGGGATCAGGGACGCGTGTGCACAGCACCGAGCAGCGTGAGCCTGTGTTCTCCCGGGCGTCTGGGATCAGGGACGCGTGTGCACAGCACCGAGCAGCGTGAGCCTGTGTTCTCCCGGGCGTCTGGGATCAGGGACGCGTGTGCACAGCACCGAGCAGCGTGAGCCTGTGTTCTCCCGGGCGTCTGGGATCAGGGACGCGTGTGCACAGCACCGAGCAGCGTGAGCCTGTGTTCTCCCGGGCGTCTGGGTTTAGGGACGCGTGTGCACAGCACCGAGCAGCGTGAGCCTGTGTTCTCCCGGGCGTCTGGGTTTAGGGACGCGTGTGCACAGCACCGAGCAGCGTGAGCCTGTGTTCTCCCGGGCGTCTGGGATTAGGGACGCGTGTGCACAGCACCGAGCAGCGTGAGCCTGTGTTCTCCCGGGCGTCTGGGATTAGGGACGCGTGTGCACAGCACCGAGCAGCGTGAGCCTGTGTTCTCCCGGGCGTCTGGGTTTAGGGACGCGTGTGCACAGCACCGAGCAGCGTGAGCCTGTGTTCTCCCGGGCGTCTGGGTTTAGGGACGCGTGTGCACAGCACCGAGCAGCGTGAGCCTGTGTTCTCCCGGGCGTCTGGGTTTAGGGACGCGTGTGCACAGCACCGAGCAGCGTGAGCCTGTGTTCTCCCGGGCGTCTGGGTTTAGGGACGCGTGTGCACAGCACCGAGCAGCGTGAGCCTGTGTTCTCCCGGGCGTCTGGGATTAGGGACGCGTGTGCACAGCACCGAGCAGCGTGAGCCTGTGTTCTCCCGGGCGTCTGGGTTTAGGGACGCGTGTGCACAGCACCGAGCAGCGTGAGCCTGTGTTCTCCCGGGCGTCTGGGATTAGGGACGCGTGTGCACAGCACCGAGCAGCGTGAGCCTGTGTTCTCCCGGGCGTCTGGGTTTAGGGACGCGTGTGCACAGCACCGAGCAGCGTGAGCCTGTGTTCTCCCGGGCGTCTGGGTTTAGGGACGCGTGTGCACAGCACCGAGCAGCGTGAGCCTGTGTTCTCCCGGGCGTCTGGGTTTAGGGACGCGTGTGCACAGCACCGAGCAGCGTGAGCCTGTGTTCTCCCGGGCGTCTGGGTTTAGGGACGCGTGTGCACAGCACCGAGCAGCGTGAGCCTGTGTTCTCCCGGGCGTCTGGGATTAGGGACGCGTGTGCACAGCACCGAGCAGCGTGAGCCTGTGTTCTCCCGGGCGTCTGGGTTTAGGGACGCGTGTGCACAGCACCGAGCAGCGTGAGCCTGTGTTCTCCCGGGCGTCTGGGATTAGGGACGCGTGTGCACAGCACCGAGCAGCGTGAGCCTCTGTTCTCCCGGGAGTCTGGGATTAGGGACGCGTGTGCACAGCACCGAGCAGCGTGAGCCTGTGTTCTCCCGGGCGTCTGGGATTAGGGACGCGTGTGCACAGCACCGAGCAGCGTGAGCCTGTGTTCTCCCGGGCGTCTGGGTTTAGGGACGCGTGTGCACAGCACCGAGCAGCGTGAGCCTGTGTTCTCCCGGGCGTCTGGGTTTAGGGACGCGTGTGCACAGCACCGAGCAGCGTGAGCCTGTGTTCTCCCGGGCGTCTGGGATTAGGGACGCGTGTGCACAGCACCGAGCAGCGTGAGCCTGTGTTCTCCCGGGCGTCTGGGATTAGGGACGCGTGTGCACAGCACCGAGCAGCGTGAGCCTGTGTTCTCCCGGGCGTCTGGGATTAGGGACGCGTGTGCACAGCACCGAGCAGCGTGAGCCTGTGTTCTCCCGGGCGTCTGGGTTTAGGGACGCGTGTGCACAGCACCGAGCAGCGTGAGCCGGTGTTCTCCCGGGCGTCTGGGTTTAGGGACGCGTGTGCACAGCACCGAGCAGCGTGAGCCTGTGTTCTCCCGGGCGTCTGGGTTTAGGGACGCGTGTGCACAGCACCGAGCAGCGTGAGCCTGTGTTCTCCCGGGCGTCTGGGATTAGGGACGCGTGTGCACAGCACCGAGCAGCGTGAGCCTGTGTTCTCCCGGGCGTCTGGGTTTAGGGACGCGTGTGCACAGCACCGAGCAGCGTGAGCCTGTGTTCTCCCGGGCGTCTGGGATTAGGGACGCGTGTGCACAGCACCGAGCAGCGTGAGCCTGTGTTCTCCCGGGCGTCTGGGTTTAGGGACGCGTGTGCACAGCACCGAGCAGCGTGAGCCTGTGTTCTCCCGGGCGTCTGGGTTTAGGGACGCGTGTGCACAGCACCGAGCAGCCTGAGCCTGTGTTCTCCCGGGCGTCTGGGATTAGGGACGCGTGTGCACAGCACCGAGCAGCGTGAGCCTGTGTTCTCCCGGGCGTCTGGGTTTAGGGACGCGTGTGCACAGCACCGAGCAGCGTGAGCCTGTGTTCTCCCGGGCGTCTGGGATTAGGGACGCGTGTGCACAGCACCGAGCAGCGTGAGCCTGTGTTCTCCCGGGCGTCTGGGATTAGGGACGCGTGTGCACAGCACCGAGCAGCGTGAGCCTGTGTTCTCCCGGGCGTCTGGGATTAGGGACGCGTGTGCACAGCACCGAGCAGCGTGAGCCTGTGTTCTCCCGGGCGTCTGGGATTAGGGACGCGTGTGCACAGCACCGAGCAGCGTGAGCCTGTGTTCTCCCGGGCGTCTGGGATTAGGGACGCGTGTGCACAGCACCGAGCAGCGTGAGCCTGTGTTCTCCCGGGCGTCTGGGATTAGGGACGCGTGTGCACAGCACCGAGCAGCGTGAGCCTGTGTTCTCCCGGGCGTCTGGGTTTAGGGACGCGTGTGCACAGCACCGAGCAGCGTGAGCCTGTGTTCTCCCGGGCGTCTGGGTTTAGGGACGCGTGTGCACAGCACCGAGCAGCGTGAGCCTGTGTTCTCCCGGGCGTCTGGGTTTAGGGACGCGTGTGCACAGCACAGAGCAGCGTGAGCCCGTGTTCTCCCGGGCGTCTGGGTTTAGGGACGCGTGTGCACAGCACCGAGCAGCGTGAGCCCGTGTTCTCCCGGGCGTCTGGGTTTAGGGACGCGTGTGCACAGCACCGAGCAGCGTGAGCCCGTGTTCTCCCGGGCGTCTGGGTTTAGGGACGCGTGTGCACAGCACCGAGCAGCGTGAGCCCGTGTTCTCCCGGGCGTCTGGGTTTAGGGACGCGTGTGCACAGCACCGAGCAGCGTGAGCCCGTGTTCTCCCGGGCGTCTGGGATTAGGGACGCGTGTGCACAGCACCGAGCAGCGTGAGCCTGTGTTCTCCCGGGCGTCTGGGATTAGGGACGCGTGTGCACAGCACCGAGCAGCGTGAGCCTGTGTTCTCCCGGGCGTCTGGGATTAGGGACGCGTGTGCACAGCACCGAGCAGCGTGAGCCTGTGTTCTCCCGGGCGTCTGGGTTTAGGGACGCGTGTGCACAGCACCGAGCAGCGTGAGCCTGTGTTCTCCCGGGCGTCTGGGTTTAGGGACGCGTGTGCACAGCACCGAGCAGCGTGAGCCTGTGTTCTCCCGGGCGTCTGGGTTTAGGGACGCGTGTGCACGGCACCGAGCAGCGTGAGCCTGTGTTCTCCCGGGCGTCTGGGATTAGGGACGCGTGTGCACGGCACCGAGCAGCGTGAGCCTGTGTTCTCCCGGGCGTCTGGGATTAGGGACGCGTGTGCACGGCACCGAGCAGCGTGAGCCTGTGTTCTCCCGGGCGTCTGGGGTTAGGGACGCGTGTGCACGGCACCGAGCAGCGTGAGCCTGTGTTCTCCCGGGCGTCTGGGTTTAGGGACGCGTGTGCACGGCACCGAGCAGCGTGAGCCTGTGTTCTCCCGGGCGTCTGGGATTAGGGACGCGTGTGCACGGCACCGAGCAGCGTGAGCCTGTGTTCTCCCGGGCGTCTGGGTTTAGGGACGCGTGTGCACGGCACCGAGCAGCGTGAGCCTGTGTTCTCCCGGGCGTCTGGGTTTAGGGACGCGTGTGCACGGCACCGAGCAGCGTGAGCCTGTGTTCTCCCGGGCGTCTGGGTTTAGGGACGCGTGTGCACAGCACCGAGCAGCGTGAGCCTGTGTTCTCCCGGGCGTCTGGGATTAGGGACGCGTGTGCACAGCACCGAGCAGCGTGAGCCTGTGTTCTCCCGGGCGTCTGGGATTAGGGACGCGTGTGCACAGCACCGAGCAGCGTGAGCCGGTGCTCTCCCGGGCGTCTGGGATTAGGGACGCGTGTGCACAGCACCGAGCAGCGTGAGCCTGTGTTCTCCCGGGCGTCTGGGATTAGGGACGCGTGTGCACAGCACCGAGCAGCGTGAGCCTGTGTTCTCCCGGGCGTCTGGGATTAGGGACGCGTGTGCACAGCACCGAGCAGCGTGAGCCTGTGTTCTCCCGGGCGTCTGGGTTTAGGGACGCGTGTGCACAGCACCGAGCAGCGTGAGCCTGTGTTCTCCCGGGCGTCTGGGTTTAGGGACGCGTGTGCACAGCACCGAGCAGCGTGAGCCTGTGTTCTCCCGGGCGTCTGGGTTTAGGGACGCGTGTGCACAGCACCGAGCAGCGTGAGCCTGTGTTCTCCCGGGCGTCTGGGTTTAGGGACGCGTGTGCACAGCACCGAGCAGCGTGAGCCTGTGTTCTCCCGGGCGTCTGGGATTAGGGACGCGTGTGCACAGCACCGAGCAGCGTGAGCCTGTGTTCTCCCGGGCGTCTGGGTTTAGGGACGCGTGTGCACAGCACCGAGCAGCGTGAGCCTGTGTTCTCCCGGGCGTCTGGGTTTAGGGACGCGTGTGCACAGCACCGAGCAGCGTGAGCCTGTGTTCTCCCGGGCGTCTGGGATTAGGGACGCGTGTGCACAGCACCGAGCAGCGTGAGCCTGTGTTCTCCCGGGCGTCTGGGATTAGGGACGCGTGTGCACAGCACCGAGCAGCGTGAGCCTGTGTTCTCCCGGGCGTCTGGGTTTAGGGACGCGTGTGCACAGCACCGAGCAGCGTGAGCCTGTGTTCTCCCGGGCGTCTGGGATTAGGGACGCGTGTGCACAGCACCGAGCAGCGTGAGCCTGTGTTCTCCCGGGCGTCTGGGATTAGGGACGCGTGTGCACAGCACCGAGCAGCGTGAGCCGGTGCTCTCCCGGGCGTCTGGGATTAGGGACGCGTGTGCACAGCACCGAGCAGCGTGAGCCTGTGTTCTCCCGGGCGTCTGGGTTTAGGGACGCGTGTGCACAGCACCGAGCAGCGTGAGCCTGTGTTCTCCCGGGCGTCTGGGATTAGGGACGCGTGTGCACAGCACCGAGCAGCGTGAGCCTGTGTTCTCCCGGGCGTCTGGGTTTAGGGACGCGTGTGCACAGCACCGAGCAGCGTGAGCCTGTGTTCTCCCGGGCGTCTGGGTTTAGGGACGCGTGTGCACAGCACCGAGCAGCGTGAGCCTGTGTTCTCCCGGGCGTCTGGGATTAGGGACGCGTGTGCACAGCACCGAGCAGCGTGAGCCTGTGTTCTCCCGGGCGTCTGGGATTAGGGACGCGTGTGCACAGCACCGAGCAGCCTGAGCCTGTGTTCTCCCGGGCGTCTGGGATTAGGGACGCGTGTGCACAGCACCGAGCAGCGTGAGCCTGTGTTCTCCCGGGCGTCTGGGTTTAGGGACGCGTGTGCACAGCACCGAGCAGCGTGAGCCTGTGTTCTCCCGGGCGTCTGGGTTTAGGGACGCGTGTGCACAGCACCGAGCAGCGTGAGCCTGTGTTCTCCCGGGCGTCTGGGTTTAGGGACGCGTGTGCACAGCACAGAGAACGAATTCAAGCTGATTCATCAGAATATGAGCGAATCTAGAGATTCGTCCTCCCGGGCGTCTGGGATCAGGGACGCGTGTGCACAGCACCGAGCAGCGTGAGCCTGTGTTCTCCCGGGCGTCTGGGATCAGGGACGCGTGTGCACAGCACCGAGCAGCGTGAGCCTGTGTTCTCCCGGGCGTCTGGGATCAGGGACGCGTGTGCACAGCACCGAGCAGCGTGAGCCTGTGTTCTCCCGGGCGTCTGGGTTTAGGGACGCGTGTGCACAGCACCGAGCAGCGTGAGCCTGTGTTCTCCCGGGCGTCTGGGTTTAGGGACGCGTGTGCACAGCACCGAGCAGCGTGAGCCTGTGTTCTCCCGGGCGTCTGGGTTTAGGGACGCGTGTGCACAGCACCGAGCAGCGTGAGCCTGTGTTCTCCCGGGCGTCTGGGTTTAGGGACGCGTGTGCACAGCACCGAGCAGCGTGAGCCTGTGTTCTCCCGGGCGTCTGGGATTAGGGACGCGTGTGCACAGCACCGAGCAGCGTGAGCCTGTGTTCTCCCGGGCGTCTGGGATTAGGGACGCGTGTGCACAGCACCGAGCAGCGTGAGCCTGTGTTCTCCCGGGCGTCTGGGTTTAGGGACGCGTGTGCACAGCACCGAGCAGCGTGAGCCTGTGTTCTCCCGGGCGTCTGGGTTTAGGGACGCGTGTGCACAGCACCGAGCAGCGTGAGCCTGTGTTCTCCCGGGCGTCTGGGATCAGGGACGCGTGTGCACAGCACCGAGCAGCGTGAGCCTGTGTTCTCCCGGGCGTCTGGGATCAGGGACGCGTGTGCACAGCACCGAGCAGCGTGAGCCTGTGTTCTCCCGGGCGTCTGGGATCAGGGACGCGTGTGCACAGCACCGAGCAGCGTGAGCCTGTGTTCTCCCGGGCGTCTGGGATCAGGGACGCGTGTGCACAGCACCGAGCAGCGTGAGCCTGTGTTCTCCCGGGCGTCTGGGATCAGGGACGCGTGTGCACAGCACCGAGCAGCGTGAGCCCGTGTTCTCCCGGGCGTCTGGGTTTAGGGACGCGTGTGCACAGCACCGAGCAGCGTGAGCCCATGTTCTCCCAGGCGTCTGGGTTTAGGGACGCGTGTGCACAGCACCGAGCAGCGTGAGCCCGTGTTCTCCCGGGCGTCTGGGTTTAAGGACGCGTGTGCACAGCACCAAGCAGCGTGAGCCCGTGTTCTCCCGGGCGTCTGGGTTTAGGGACGCGTGTGCACAGCACCAAGCAGCGTGAGCCCGTGTTCTCCCGGGCGTCTGGGATTAGGGACACGTGTGCACAGCACCAAGCAACGTGAGCCCGTGTTCTCCCGGGCGTCTGGGATTAGGGACGCGTGTGCACAAAACCGAACATCGTGAGCCTGTGTTCTCCCGGGCGTCTGGGATTAGGGACGCGTGTGCACAGCACCGAGCAGCGTGAGCCTGTGTTCTCCCGGGCGTCTGGGATTAGGGACGCGTGTGCACAGCACCGAGCAGCGTGAGCCTGTGTTCTCCCGGGCGTCTGGGATTAGGGGACGCGTGTGCACAGCACCGAGCAGCGTGAGCCTGTGTTCTCCCGGGCGTCTGGGATTAGGGACGCGTGTGCACAGCACCGAGCAGCGTGAGCCTGTGTTCTCCCGGGCGTCTGGGTTTAGGGACGCGTGTGCACAGCACCGAGCAGCGTGAGCCTGTGTTCTCCCGGGCGTCTGGGTTTAGGGACGCGTGTGCACAGCACCGAGCAGCGTGAGCCTGTGTTCTCCCGGGCGTCTGGGATTAGGGACGCGTGTGCACAGCACCGAGCAGCGTGAGCCTGTGTTCTCCCGGGCGTCTGGGTTTAGGGACGCGTGTGCACAGCACCGAGCAGCGTGAGCCTGTGTTCTCCCGGGCGTCTGGGTTTAGGGACGCGTGTGCACAGCACCGAGCAGCGTGAGCCTGTGTTCTCCCGGGCGTCTGGGATTAGGGACGCGTGTGCACAGCACCGAGCAGCGTGAGCCTGTGTTCTCCCGGGCGTCTGGGATTAGGGACGCGTGTGCACAGCACCGAGCAGCGTGAGCCTGTGTTCTCCCGGGCGTCTGGGATTAGGGACGCGTGTGCACAGCACCGAGCAGCGTGAGCCCGTGTTCTCCCGGGCGTCTGGGATTAGGGACGCGTGTGCACAGCACCGAGCAGCGTGAGCCCGTGTTCTCCCGGGCGTCTGGGTTTAGGGACGCGTGTGCACAGCACCGAGCAGCGTGAGCCCGTGTTCTCCCGGGCGTCTGGGTTTAGGGACGCGTGTGCACAGCACCGAGCAGCGTGAGCCCGTGTTCTCCCGGGCGTCTGGGTTTAGGGACGCGTGTGCACAGCACCGAGCAGCGTGAGCCCGTGTTCTCCCGGGCGTCTGGGTTTAGGGACGCGTGTGCACAGCACCGAGCAGCGTGAGCCCGTGTTCTCCCGGGCGTCTGGGATTAGGGACGCGTGTGCACAGCACCGAGCAGCGTGAGCCTGTGTTCTCCCGGGCGTCTGGGATTAGGGACGCGTGTGCACAGCACCGAGCAGCGTGAGCCTGTGTTCTCCCGGGCGTCTGGGTTTAGGGACGCGTGTGCACAGCACCGAGCAGCGTGAGCCTGTGTTCTCCCGGGCGTCTGGGTTTAGGGACGCGTGTGCACAGCACCGAGCAGCGTGAGCCTGTGTTCTCCCGGGCGTCTGGGTTTAGGGACGCGTGTGCACAGCACAGAGCAGCGTGAGCCTGTGTTCTCCCAGGCGTCTGGGTTTAGGGACGCGTGTGCAAAGCACAAAGTGGCATTCCCCGCTTGCTCTACACGGAAACAGGCACTTCCTCCTCTTCTCTAGGGGGTTACCGAAACCCCTGTGCCAAGCACTCAGACTTCTATTTCTTACCAAGCAGGCGCTCCTCCTTCCTCTCCATGTTCCCATCTGGCTAGTCCAGATTTTCGGTTCACATTCGAACGCCTCAAAAGATGATCTCACTGTCTCTCCTGCCTCACCACTCATCCGTAACCAAACCACTCCAATCAGCCTCCGCTCCTCCAATCTCCTGGAATTGTTCTTAACAAGGTGAGCAGTGACCAAGGTTCAGGCCCAGTGGGTACTTACCGGTCTTTTCTTGCATACCGCTCTGCTGCACGTGGTCATCCCCGCATGCCAGCGCTCTCTGCTCTACCATTCCTCTAACGCCCCGCTGCCCGCCTCCCCCCCACCCCCGTGTTCCTCGACACTATGATCTCTGTGTTCACTGTCTTTCTGCTGGTCCTTCAATGAAGGTGTTATTCCCCTTGGCTTACTGTCCTTATCACACTATATGTGTATCTCTCAACTGAACCTCATTCTTATCTATTTACAAAGACATATGTCTTATGCTTCCCAAATCTTCAATGCCAAACTCTCTTACAAGCTTCACACTTCCAGATCTGTCTGGAAACAGATCTCATACACAGTCCTCACAAAGCTGACTTCATCACCTCCTCCCCTTGTCTGTTAACCTACCTTAGAGACCCGAACTAGAGAAATAGTAACCACACTAGGGCCTCCTCCTTGTATCTCATGCTGTAATAATGATGAGGGCCTAGCAATTTCACTTCCTGAACATGACCTGCCATCTCTCTCTTCATCTCCACCTCCAGTTCTGCTGTCCCAGGTAATTCATTACAGCTCCCCGTGTATCTGGGCAAGGCTTCTCACTGAATTCTCTGGCCTTTTTAGGGCCACCCATCTGTGGCTCCCAAACACCCCAGGGAATTTCTATGCTCTCTCTTCACAAACAGTCCCGCTCCTTCCCTTGTTCTTACCTCTGACTCATTAAATCCTACCCACCCTTTATCGATCTAGTCCAGAAGTCACTTCCTCCTTGGAGTCTCTGAGACATCTTCTATGCCCAGACAGGGACCATCCCTCGTCCCTGCATCCCGCCGTGCCCTGTGCGTCTCCTATGCAGTTCTCGCCCGCTGTACTTACTTTCTTAGGACTCTGAGCTCTCTGAAGGACCTCCTTGCCATATCTTCTCTGTACCCCTCCTCACAAGTCTGGCACATCACAGGAATTCAAATTTCTACTGAATAAATGAGTTTGCTGATTAAATATCAGAACATGATATACTGATTCTTTATCAACTGGGGCTGCTCAATTAATGAATGAGTGGAAGTGTCTTTATAGGGAAATATGCTGATTCCATTTTAGAACACAATGCTTATTTGCAAGGACACAATTATTAACTTACTGTGTAATAGGCCAAGATTCTTACTCAACATACGTCCTTTGTAGGCAAAAGCAAACCACAATAAGCCTACCCTGACCTGAGACGCTTGTTGTTAAGAACAACAGATAACCTGAGAACTGTGTTTTGCCAACAGTCAGTTTCCACCCTGAAGGAATGGACTTCACAAGGCCTTTGCTTTGTGAGGCCCTGTTGCCTATGTGCTGTGTGATTACAAACATTCCACAGTCGGTTATTTAGAAAGATACTGAAATTGCGGAACTCTGTGCTGACACACTGATTACAGCAACAACCACAGATTGGACCTACTTCATATGAACACTTTAACCACCAGCTTAGGGACCATCCCTGAGTTACAGCAGAGGGAGCCCTGAACTGGAAGCCCCAGCTCTCTCACCACCTGGCCAAGGGGCTGAAAGCAGGTGATGCCACTTCTGTGGGTTGTGGTGATCTCATCTGTGCAATGAAGAACTGGATTTGGTTCAGCTCAGTCACCAACAGCTGACAACTACTGAACCAAGTGCAAATGTGGAAGTCCTATCCTCAAGAAATTAAAGTATAATGGAAATAAAGACAGATGGCACCAAACTATCATCTACTGATGTGCTCTGACGGCCCTTCACGGGTAAAGCTGCTATGACATGCTGCAACAAGGACAGGTGAATACTCCTTAGGAATGTAAAGTGACATCACCCGTTCATCTAACAGATGCCATCCTGGGTCAGACACCCGACCAACAATGCCCTATTCATGGCACTAACACTGAGTGAAGGGAAGAAGAAAGGTGATTATTTCCCATACTGAAAACTGAAAAGTTTGCTCTTGAAAATAACCTGGCCTAAATGACAAGACGTGTTCATTCTTAGAAGTCAGGGTGTGCTCTGAACGAGTGTTACGTGTGGGTAAGTTTTTCAGTGAAAGAAAGCCTCAACGAGTCAACAATAAACATTAAACAATTCTGTTCCAAGCAGGAACTTGCAAACTCCTGGTGCAAGAGCATCAAGAAGCAATGAGATCTCGTCTCGGGCAGAGTAAATGGCTGAAATGGAACTTGCTGGGTCCACACCAGTTCACCCTGTTCTTCCTAAATACACCGACTTCTGTCAGGTTCATTCAAGCTAAAAGTCAACCAAACTTGCCATGCTCCCATTTCACAATTTACGTATAATTTACCTCTTTTATTTCTCTACCTCAAAGAATTACACATATGATCAAATCCAAAATGGGCAAAACAACCAATGGAGGATTTGAGGGGCGAGGAGCCAGTAGGACACAACCTGAGACGTGCTCTTGCCAAGTCAGAGAACTTACTGCGGGGAGTGGTGTCAGGACCAGAGGGGAAGTTTAACCCAAGATGCTTTTTATAGACATTCAGTTTCCTCAACAAGGCTTTCTTTTGCTGCTACTCTAAGCAGAAGTGAGGGTAAAAAATCCAGGTAGAACTGAGGAATGATCTGGCATGCCAGCAGCACCGTGTAAACAATCCAGGTAGAACTGAGGAATGATCTGGCATGCCAGCAGCACCATGTTGGTGCTGGGGGCTCTGGGATGCTGGGTTTGCATATTCCGTGATTTGGTACCTGGGCATTTATATCCGGCATCAACAAGAACACCTATGCTCTTTTCCTGTGCTTCTGGAGGTCTGGGAGACAGAAGATACTATTTTAAAAGTGTGTTCATTGCAAAATTCTTATTTCCCAGATAATATACTGTAAAAGTGCTTCTCAGGCCTGTTTGCCTTGTGCTTTTACTTTTCTAATTATAACGTAAGCTTTATAAAGTAAATTACACCTCTTCTCGGCAAATTTCTGTTAGGAGGTCCATACCAAAAACACTGTGCGGTAACCTTGGGACTTGTGAAAAGCTTGGTAACAAAGACCAATTTTCAAATTACTAATCAAACAGAAAAAACAACTAATTTAAGCTAACTGGGGTTACATTGGGAGACAGAACATTTTCACAGCCTGCAGGAGTAAAATCTGAGGATCTGAGGTTATCTTTTCAGCAACAGAGAAAGTCACCTGGTGACTCTCCTTCCCTAAGGAACTCTGGAATTTAGGGAACATTCTGGGAGCCCAAGTCAGCGTGACAGAGGGTTGGCCCCAGGTCTAAGGCTCACATCACCACTTCAATATGATTGAAAGGTATGGCCTTTGGCTTGTCCAACCCAATGAATAAAATTCGTAAATAAAAGTAGCCTGTATTTTGGAAATAGGGTTTAAGGTGCTCTGGAATAAAAGACAAGGAAAGCTGAGCTCTTCCTGCTGAGGCCATAGAGTCCAGGGTCCCAGGGCATCTGATGGGAACCAGGAAACTGGAAAAACCAGTTCTTAAAGTTCCTAAAACCTGACAGTAAATATTGAACAGTAAACAGCTCAACTGTTTTTGTGTTTATATGCTAAGGAAGGTTCATTTACTAGGGTTTATTGGCAGTTATGTAAAATGATACTTGTATGAACAAAACTGCTATTTTAAGTTTCAGATATTGCTTCATCAGGGTGCTTGTCCTACAAGTTGGCGGAAATCTAAACAGAGGGAAAACATTATGAATACATTGTTATTTATTAGTAAACAAAACAGCAAAAATAAACTGATTTTCTTTGGTCCAAAAGGCCTAGTTTGATTTTATAACTAAAATTCTTTCTCTTCACTAGAAGTCTTCCGATTGTAGTTGGGCACAGTCTTACAGAACGTAAGCGAGCGCCAGTGCAGCTTCTACTCATGTCCAGCTACTCCTCAGCCTCCTTTAGCAGGGGCAGGAGGAGCCAAAACCTCCCATGTTGGTAAAGATGCTCCATGAGGGCAGAACTCACCAACCCAGCAGCACTGCAGTTAACACCTGCACTCATCTGAGATTCCCATGCTGTATCTGACAGCTGTCTAAAAGCCCACACAGTATTTACCTAAGGAAACAGCATGGCTCTGAGTTACAACTGTCAGTTCATAAAATTAGACTATCTTCTAAGAACGCGCTCACATTCAAAGAATCACAGAGCCGGATGAGACAGGAGCACAGCCAGGCAAGGCTGAATTTAAATCCCACCCCCCCGCCCCTGTAGATACTACCATCATCTTGGAATAATTTACGTTAGTCAAACCGCTTTCATTAGATGTCTCTGAAATACTAATCTCAGTGATTCCTAATAGATTTAATCACTCTTTTAACATTAATATAATTAAAATAGTGTATGTAAGCAGTACCTGAATTGAGGCTTTCTTAGCTTTTAGGACTAAATCAAGTATAAAAAATCATTCTTAAAAAAAATTTTAATTAAAACTGAGAGTAAACAAATTACTCAGACCGCATGAACCATGTTCTTATCAAATGGCAAAACAAGACACTGTATGTCTAGATAGAAAATAAGCTCTTATTATTCCTAACGAAAATTTTATTTTACTCATATCAGTAGGATAAACTCTTTAAAAATAACTGAATAAATATGAGAGTCAACTACCTACTTTCACGCTTATTTTTTCTGTTTTTCAATTTCCTGACTCACTTAACACAGGGAAAACGGCAAGAAAAGATGAATTTCTTGAAAACTGCGTGAAGGTCCTGAGCCAGGCCCTCGGTTATTTGGTTTCCATCTCTTCTCTGCTCCAAGCCTGAGGGTGGCAGCTGGCGCCAGGCGCTGCTCTTGGGACTTGCAGCTGCAGCCTCCTGGCCAATCATCTCTTACTTCCTGTCTCGGAACGAATGGCAGACACTCTTCAAGGCCTGACTCCTGAAGACTCACGTGCTAGGAGCACAGAGTGGGCTCTGACCACCAGGCCTCATTTGACAAGTGCTGACTGTGAGATGTTTTTTGCTTTTTTCTTCAATTAATCTTTCTGGAGAATTTCTTTTTTACCCTTTTGCATCTTAAGGTGGAGGTTTTTATTCCAAATGTTTTTTACACACAATTCTTGAAACTCCTGAATTCAATGACAGCTTCTTATCATGGCAAAAGGTACATATCAAAAAAACAGAAAAGCTTTAGTTACTAACATCCGAGGGGGATGTCATTCCACATATTTAAGGAAATTGCTAAGCAGGTCCACACAAACACTTGTAAAGAAAGGTTCATAGCAGCATTATTCACAGGGCCAAAAAGTGAAACTACCAAGTGTCTCTCAGCTGATGACAGACAAACAAAACATCGTCCATCCACACAACCCTCAGCCACTGAGAACCTGGGAAACACAGTGCTCAGTGAATGATGCCAGACACGAAAGGCCACAAACTGTGCGATGTCATGTTTATGAAATGTTCAGAACAAAGAAATCTACAGAGGCAGAAAATGGATGAGTGGTAGACAGGGGCTGAGGAGTGTGGGGCTGGGGCTGGGGGGAGGGAGACTGCATAAGAGGTAGAGGTTTCTTTTTGAGGTGACAAAAAGGTTCTAAAATTGATTGTGGCTGAACAACAACTCTGTGTTCAGAGCCATTAAATTGTACACCTTAAATGGGTGAACTGTATAGTTCATGTGACTTTGTCTAAATAATGTCTGTCTATCCATCCATCCGTATTGAGATATATATACACCATTTCTTGCTTGGTGGGGTGGTGGCTCAGTGTTGACTCCCGCCTGCACACAGGGCCAAGTGCTGCAAATTCTACTGCAGTATCTCCCGTCTGTTAGAGACGCACAACCATCCTGAGACCTCAGCATAATGAAGAATAGGAATAATTGTATTTATACATGTAAAGCTACAGGAAGAAACCAAGTTTAAAAGAATGTTAAGGAAAACAAGTCCTTAAAGGTGTTAGAAGGCGAATCTTTATAAGAAATGCGGTGAGGTAATATCTGAACTGCTGACTGCAGTTCTGCTGTTCTTCCCCTTTACTGCCTTGCCCCGCCCTCTTTAGTCATTTAGGACATCCCACAATGACAGGTACAGGATCAGAGGGTAATATTACCGAGTTCTGGCTTCTGAGTTTAGGTTTAACCCCCAGAAGAACTTCAAAGAACTCAGATCTGCCAGAGCACGACTGGACAGCAGCTCCTGGAACCAGGAAAGGCGAGAGGAAGCCAGGGGCACAGAGAAACTGGGAGCCCTACAGAAACAGGGTCCTCTGCCTCACCCCCCAGAGGAAGGGTGATGGACCCTCAGGTGGCTGGGGCATCTTAGAGCAGACCATCACTTTCCCTGTCTTCCACAAAGAGCTCGGGGACGTAGCTGCGTCTCAGAAAAGAAAGGTCTGCATGGACTGTCTGGGCGGCAAGGGCCCCCTAAGGTGCCACTTAGCACATGTGGGAGCAGGAGGACACAAGGCCTGGGGGCCGCCCCGCTGGGGAAGTCTGTGAGGTGCAGAGAGCAGGGCCAGGAAAGCTCAAGGGCAACTGAGAGTCTCCGTCTCACCTCTGCAATGTCTCTGCGATAAATTTCTGCCGACTCACAGAATGGGTTTAAAAGAGAAATTAGATTGCTATATTCAAAAAAGGTACATTTTTTGTAAAATTGAAATTACATCCTGAAATTTGCTTCTGCTGTAGAAAAATAAGTTACATGTGAAAGATTCTTATTCACGAAGATAAAATCCATCTACCAGCATTATAGCATAAACTCTTAAGTATAAGATTTATGGACATATTCAGCAAACTGACAATTAATTATTGAGTACCTACAAGGTGCAAAGGTTCCATGGAAATTATAAAAGACTCAGTTTCCACCCCCAAGTAACTGAGCTCTCCTGATTCCAAGAACATAGACATACTTCTCTTAAGATTCTCCAGGACAAGAGAAACCTCCTATCTAGGAGTCAGGTATGGGAGCAGGAAAAAAAAAAAAAAAAAAAACTACCCTAAGTTTGCTGAGGCAAAGGTCACCCGAGGAGTGCCACAGGCTACATCCAGTGGCGGGTTCAGCCCCGGGGCCTGCCCCAGCACTGCTGGCAACACCTGGATCCTTTATCATGAGAGACCTTTCCAGTTGACTTCCTCACTCTCTCCAAACTGGACTCGGAATTCTCTGCTTTCTGCTATAGTCCTTCTTACCTTTTCTTGCTTCCTCATAGAGATCACATTTTCTCAAACACGTATCAAGATCTGTAGCAGGAGACACCTACTACAATTATGAGGACTATGGGCAAAGTCAGTGAAAGTGGGGCCCTGCTGCCAAGTCCAGGAGGCAGACGCACTGCACAGCTGGTTCCAGGCATCCTGAGTTCTCAAAGTCCTTTCCTAGGTTCAAACGCAGCCACAAACCTCTCTTCTCTCTTGGCCTGTGAAAATTCTGGATAAATACTGGAAAGTCTATGTGCACAAGAGAGAATAAAAGTGAGGAAAAATATGAATACTAATTTCTTTTGCTTTGTTCATTTGCTTTCTTTTGCTTTGTTCATTTCTATCTTATCTCATTTAAGCTGCTGAGGGACTCATCAGTCATCTTCTGTGTTTACAGAAGCCCAGTAAAACATTCAAGATTTCTATTTCTACTGCTACGGGCAAATACGTCCTTCCAAAATTTCTTATGCTGAAGGCTAAATCCCCAATGGGATGGTAATTGGAGGTGGGGGCCTATGAGAGCTGATTGGCTCATGGTGGGGGGGTGGGGGGCACCCTACCAAAGCAGGTGAGTGCCCTCAGGAGACTGCTCTCTGCTCTCCAACCTATGAGGACATAGTGAGAAACTGGCTGCCTGCAAGCCAGGAGGGAGCCCCCCCGCCCCGCCCCGGCAGACAGCAGAGCTGCTGGCACATGGATCTTGGACATCAAGTTTCCAAAACACTGAGAAGGGAATGTCTGTGGTTTTAGGCCACCCAGTCCGTGGTGTTTTGTTATGGCAGCCCAAACTGACCAGTACATCTACTATTCATTCATTCACCAAATTTTTATTGAGTGCCCAATAATGAAAGCATTTTTCCTTCTTTAAAAATTGTATTTCTTCTGTGAACTTGTGTAGGGAAGTAAAAACATTTTTGTAAATATCTCCTTGAAAACATATTACACAATCCTGTATTTTCATGGTTGTCTTAGGGATTTAATCGGTAAAGCGCCATCTTAACGGCTTGATCTCATTATGTCTTCAAAGCATTTTGATTCTGCCTACAGAAAAATATTCAATTTGTAAAGTGAGAATTCACCAAGAGCAGCACTGAGTAAAGATCTTTTATGAGAAGGTTTCTAAATCTGCTTTTGACACATGGCATACCTGCTTATCACTTTAGAGGTGTCTCACTGTCTGGTGAGAAGACAGGAAGTAAAGGGAGTGCATGGTGGAACTCGGAACCTTGGCCTTTTGATCAGCTCAGACATGCACTATACCTTGACCTGGTGCAAACCGTTCCACTAATCTGAGCCTAAAACCCTGGTCTATAAGACAAAAGTGCTTGACTGAACTGTCTCTAAGGTACCACTGTGCTCTGAACCAACAGGCAACATTACACTTCAATATTAAATCACACAACATACATGCATATTGAAACATTTCACTGTACCCCATAAATATGCACAATTATTATGTCAACTGGAAACATGACTTCATCTTAAAAAGGCACTTGATGCTTGTAAGGCCCCCTAATAGGTGTGAGGAGATCCATGTGAGTCAGCCACAGCCCTACCCCTACAGACTCCCAAATCCAGGTTTTATCATGGCGAGGGTCTTTGTGTAGGAGAATTAGGTGGAAGTGGAACCAAGAGTCAGGGAATTTATATCCTCACTTCAGCTCCTTTATAAGGACCAATGCCAAGACACATAATTATATCTTCATTTTTCTAAGAATAAGATAGGACTTAATTACCTCAAAGGAATGACATGAAAACTAACTACCAAAGCCCTCTAATGTCTTTAAAACTTGCTACATTCACGCATGGGGTTATTACTGTCACTGTGTGTGCGTGCAGACCTGGCTGCAGGAGGGGCACAGAGACAAAAGCATGGGGCTCCCCATCCTGCCGTCTCCCCGCGGACTTACCTGCTGGCTCCAGCCAAGGGTCAGCACGCTCTTCTGGAAAGAGCCAGATGGAAACACTTTTGGCTTTGTGGGCCATATGATGTCTCTCGCAGCCGTTCAACTCTGCTGTTGCAGGGCAAAGGCAGCTGCAAATGACTGAGCATGGCTATGTGCCAAGAAAACCATTTCGGACATAGAAATTTGCGTTTCATGTAATTTTCACATCATGGAATATTATTCTTTTGACTTTTTCCCTAACCATTTAGAAACAAACACCATTCTTAGCTCACAGGCTTCACTACATGCTGGTGGCGGAATGTGGCCTATGGGCGATAGTCTGGTAACCCCTGGTTGAATCTTTTGACAAAGTGAGAGTATCATTATCATTTAAAGTTTCATTAATTTGTAGCAAAATAAAAATATCATTTGGAGATTCAATGGCATAGAATTATTTTTATTTTCAACTTCTACTGGTGAGTTTTATAGCTAACCTAAAAAGAAAAATTTGTTTAAATCAGAATTGTCACAATTTAAAACAAGCTTAAAAGTGACTTATTCTAGGTTAATGAACTGTTTCTGGTGAGAAGAAAAGGATCAAAGCAGTGTGGGCTCAGATGCAATGAGCATGTTCTACCTCATTCTTCTCTCATCAAAGTCCTGAATATGAATATGGCAACAAGAAAGAGAAAAAAAAAATCTAAAAAATAACATGAGCTTATCCGAGGCTGGGCAGGGCGGTGAGTGTGTGTGTCCTGACCTGAGGCCATAATCAACAGGACTAGGGGAAGATCAAGGCCCAGAACACTGTTCACTTTGTGTACTCATGCCGACAAAGTACTCATTTGTTGGATAATGTCACAATGTTCTTCTCAACAGCCTGCTGTCCCTGGCTACGCCTCACCTAGTCTTTCACCCTCTAAGCCTTCGCTGGCTCCTCTCAACCCCCATTCACCCCACACCAGAGACCATGCTGGCCCTGAGCTCTCTCCACTCCACCCCTCACCTCCCAAGTGAAGCTTCCCCTCCTGTGGGTGACATGGGCCCCTGACGGGTGTAGGCCACCAGGGGAACCCCACTCAGGTGCGCTCACACGCCACTCTCCCTCATGCCCTGGCACCTGCCCCTCAGAGCACAGGTCCAGCCAAATAGACTCAGCTGCCTGCCCCTCCCCACTTGCCATTCCCCTTCCCGGCCACCCCCACTTCCCAGATGCAATGGAGAGACTCCTACTCTTTCCTAGGAGCCAGCAAGGCTCTGCCAAGGCAACTGGCCAGAACCTAACCGCTTCCCCCACCCATGAGTCCCAGCTCTCAGCTCCCCACACACCAAGCTCTCGTCTCACCAGGATAACTGGGGAGGCCTTTGCTTCCCTTTCAGCTTTCAGGCAGCAGAATCTAACTCCCAAGAACAACGATTTAGTGCCACCTCCCAACAGCTGCAGAGAAACTTGTATTATATCTTGAGAGTCTGGATGTGCAACATGCCACTGAATGACAGAATGCCACTGAGTCTACATTTTGCTTATTTATCTATTTTTTCGTACAAGACTTAGGCTCCAAGCATTTTCCCACAGAGAACAAGAAACAGCTCACTGCTGTTATGATTGTGAGGAGTTCCTGCTCTGTCCCCTTTGCATTTCTGGCCAAGGGTCCTTTTACCAACACCTGCTGAGCCTGTCACAGACCACCCCACCCGATGGTGATGGCAGGCGGATAAACACTTGCACCAACTGGCCAGGCTTTGCAATTCTGATAGTCTCAAAAAGGGTGTGTGTTCCTTCCGTGATTCCAGCAGAGCCCTGCTCCAGGCAGCCTGTGGGGGAGGCGGGGTGTCAGGGGCCGAGCCCTGCTCCAGGCAGCCTGGCAGGGGGGAGGGGGGGGAGGGAGGGGTGTGTGTGTGTGTCAGGAGGCCCGTGCTCATGCCTCTCTACCACTGCCACCACCCAGTTTTGCCAACTCTTTGATTTGAATTCCCTCAGGAGGACACATCTAGTTCACGAACAGAAAACATCTGGGCTTTTTTCCTGGGCAATTCTTTCCTCCATGGGTTCATGCTTCAGCATCTGCTATCATCAAAAGCACTGTCTGCAACCTCTTTCTTCAGGTGGACATTATTTGAGAACAAGGGGCAAAACCAAAGGGTGAAGTCCAAGACACAACTTTAGTTTCAAACAGCCAAGAATGCATGACATAGACCACAGCTGTCATCCCTAGTAAGGCGAGAAGGAACCCTGCAGACCAAGCAGCAGATGAACCTAGACTCTTTTCTGCCACCGTCTTGAGAAATCCCCACAGCCAGCATGAATCCTCGTCCTCCATGTTCAGACATAAGCCTCTCATTAGCCTTGGTTTATGACATTTTGGTCTCAGAAAATCCAAGTGGGCTCAAAGTCTGACCACCTTCACACACACACAAATACGTATTCAATTCCATGTGGGTAAAGTGCCAGGAGGGAGCTGTAGGAGACAGGAGATGGCCTAGGGCTCAGCCTGACTGGGGGTTTCGGCAGGAGTACGTGCCCCAGGCACACCACGCCCTTTTCTGCACTCTGCCCCATCCTCTCCTCCTCTCATTCTGATGTTGTAAACTCCAGAGCCCTAGCTTTGCTTTTCAACCCAGAAGTCAATCCAGTGAATCAGAAAATCATCCCATGGTCATCTATATGAACATGTACGAAAGGGCTTTTAGCTTCACCAACTGTAGGTCTCACTCACCACTGCAATCTACAAGCTCATAGCATTTCCAGGTAACAGAGGGGTGAGAAATGAAAACGCCACCACAGTTATCTGAAGAGGATGATCTTGGGGAGGAAAGAAAGGCATGCCAGCATCTGTGTTTCAGCAGCACCAGCCTCTGAAGGGCCCCCAGGCATCCCTGTCCCAAGTGCCCCCATCAGCTCTTGAGACTAGAATTGTAGAGAACCCCAGAGAGAGGTGTCAGAGGGAGCTCTGCAAAGATGGGGCTTTGTCTAGACACCTGCTTTGTATTTGCACAAACACTTTGCTGAACCAGACAGACTCTGCCTGTCTCAGCAAATGCTCATGTATACTTTTAAATTGCAGGTATCCATTTAATGAAGTTAATCAATGTTGGCAGGATGCTGGGTGCTGGAAAATAAAGAGGAGCAAGAACACTGTCCCTTTCCTCAAAGGGGCATTAGTCTAGGAGAGAAGGGAAACTGAAAACCCTAAGTGGGACACTCTGGCTTCTCACCCACGAGTCCCCCTCAGAACACACACCAGACCAACCTAGCCAGGACTCTGGGATAGTGACTTGGCATGTGGATTCAGAACAAGGCCCACAGTGTGAAAGGTGCTGCTGAACAAAGATAAATAAAAGGGACATCGCAGGCTCAAAGGAGAAGAGGTCGGAGAAGGTGGAGGAGACTCAGGGCCCCTGGATATGGAAGTTGGGCATTTTTCAGCCTTTGCTTCAGTGACTTCATGCAATGGAAGGGGCAGGCATCTCTCTCAGTGACTGAACAAGGGGAAATGCAGCACAAATCACCAGCACATAGCCACATCCCAAAAAAACAAAACACATTTTTAAAAAATTATGTTTTGGCTGGGCGTGGCTGCTCATGACTGTAATCCCAGCACTGTGGGAGGCTGATGCAGGCCCATCACTGAAGGTCAGGAGTTCCAGACCAGTCTGGCCAACATGGTAAAACCCCATCTCTATTGAAAATACAAAAATTAGCTGGGTGTGGTGGTGCATGCCCGTAATCCCAGCTACTCGGGAGGCTGAGGTTGCAGTGAGCTGAGTTCGCGCCACTGCACTCTAGCCTGGGTGACAGGGTGAGACTCTGTCTAAAAAAAACAAAATAAAACATGATGTTTAATAAGTGCTTTCTTGATATAATCTCACTGTAGGAATGCCATGTTTCGCTGGTGCACACACTATCACAGCACAGTGATTACCAAGGAAATGGAGATCCAGAATTACTTTATTGTTATGATCCTGTAATCAAAATAAAGTAAAAACTGGGGCTTCAGGCCTTGCCTGGGACCTGTATTTTCACTAAAAGCTGCTACTGGCATAGACAATGATCAGTCATCACACTCTATGTTAACAAACACAGCACACACAGCTTGCTGTTTTCTGAGCGCCCCAGCAGGCCCCAGGCCAAGCTGTGCTGTACAAGGCAGAGGACGATGCTGCTGACACAGGTGTGACTTGCTGCACTCGCCATGCACACCAGGGACAGCGGTGGGTACGAGGCAGCCACATGCAGGGGAATCTTAAGAAGATGGCTTGAATTTTATAGTAAAATTTTATCTTTCATCAACTCACATCTTTTCCTTTTAATTTTCCAACCAAAAAATGACCAAGAACTTCCCAATGATTAGCTATGAGGCACTAGAAAAAGTGGCTAAGGTACCAGCTCATGGAGTTCTCAGTGTGTAAGAGACGGAGCCAGAATTCCCTAACAGTCAGAGCCTCCACCTGGAGAGCGGGCTGGAGACAAAGCCAGCAGGAGGAGGGGTGATGGTTTTGTGGCTTTCAGAGCCCTGACACGGCAAAGATAAACTGATGGGGCAAAGAAAGGCAGAGGAATTTCTCGGCTTTTTCTCCAAAAAGAGAGCAAGAGCTCATTTATAAAATCATCATTGCCACGGTGGTGGCTCCTGCCTGTAATCCCAGAACTTTGGGAGGCTGAGGCAGGAGGATTGCTTGAGCTCAGGAGTTCGAGACCATCCTGGGCAACATAGCAACACCCCATCTCTCAAAAAAAAAATACAAAAATTACCTAGGCATGGTGGTGTGCGCCTGTAGTCCCAACTACTAGGAAGGCTGAGGTGGGAGGATGGCTTGAGCCTGGGAGGCAGAGATTGCAGTGAGACAAGATTGTACCACTGTACTCCAGTCTGGGCAACAGAGCCAGACCTTGTCTCAAAAAAAAAAAAAAAGAAAAAAGAAAGAAAACAAATTATTATTATTATTGCACCCTGGGATGAGAGCAAAATGACTTCTGAGCACACACCATGTGAGTGCACACACTGGGCCTGGACCCACGGCAGTATACGTAGTACACACTCCACTCTGCTCAATGAGAGAATAACGGCAACCATGGCATCGTGTTCTACAGAGGACTTTACAAAATGATCTGGGCCTGTATCAGATTCTTACAGAACACTGGGAGAGTGGCAGGTAGACAATTATACCTCTTTCCACATTCCTAGACAGTACATGGTATGCCCACTGACTGCAGACAGAAGCCTGAACCAGGATGCTGGACTCCAGGCCCACAAGGGCACCAGCTGTGGAGAGCTGGATGGCAACAGGAGAGTGATCCATAACCTTGAATGTCCACAGAAACATTCCTCCTGTCACATCAATAAGCAGGGTACTGAGGGTGCCAGAGTTCATGTCCTCTTCTGCCCTGTCTCTACCTCCCCCCTTCAAGTTGTTTGAAGAGGGAGACCTCACAATTTACTGGTCCATAATATAATTCAGCCTATTGCTTAATTTACTTTACTTCTGTACTATAAAGAGATTCTGGTCAGATGTGGTGGCTCACACCTATAATCCTAGCACTTTCAGAGGCTGAGGTGAGTAGATCACTTGAGGTCAGGAGTTCAAGACCAGCCTGGCCAACATGGTGAAACCCTGTCTCTACCAAAAATACAAAAATTAGCCGGGTGTGGTGGTGTGTGCCTGGAATCCCAACTACTCAGAAGGCTGAGGCATGAGAATCAGTTGAACCCAGGAGGTGGAGGTTGCAGTGAGCTGAGATCACGTCACTGCACTCCAGCCTGGGCAACAGAGCGAGGCTCTGTCTCAAAAAATTAAAAAAGAAAGATTCTAACTTAAATCCTACATACATCTATACGTATGTGTATGTATGATCACAAGGGTTGTACACACTATGTATGAAGGATCACATGTCCTATTCAAAGTTCAGTCGAGCAGGTATGTTCTCTAGAACCATACACTAGAAGCTCACACTGAAAGTTACAGACATGAATAGGAAAACTGGCAAACACATAACTGGCACTCAGAGACCTAACTACAAAGGGAAAACAACTGCCATCATTTCTGCTCACAGGCCTGTCCTTGGTATCCAGAAAACAGCAGCCTCCCGTCACGTGCACAACTATCCTTTGTCCTTTACTTTTAAAAGTCATGTTTTGGTTTTCTTAAACTGTAAGTAATACTGCTTTCCTTCTTTCTTCTTTCCTTTACTTATAACATTATTGCAGGTTAAGGGTTCTTGTATTCTTATGTATTTCTATGTAGGTAAATGAATGTGTATATACATAAATATGTACTATGCACCTTTACACATATAATCCAGTCACCTAAATTTTTAATATGTATGTAACTATATATATACACGTATATATATATATACGTGTATATATATATATATATATATATATATATATATATATACACGTATATATATATAGTTTTAAGGCTATATTTGAGTAGGAAAGTAATGTTGGGCAAAGAACTAATAGGGTGTTTTAAAATTCACTATGAGCAACAGTGACTTACCCACTGCCAGAAGAGCCACCTACCCAACAGTGGCTGGTGACACCAGGGCACACACCTCTGTGGCTCAATTAGCTCATTATTGAGAAAGCCACTGCGAACTCCCAATGCAATACGACTGCAACGTGAAGCAGTCAGAACAGAGTCAGGCTGTGGGGAGGCTGCACCTGGACCCAACTCCTTCCCCAAACCACATCTCCACCTTTCACAGGAGGGAGCCAGCAGGGCTGCTGAGTGGTGACTCTGCCCTACCTAGGATTTCAAGCCAGTCCTTGGCTGGTGGGGAGATGAACGAAACTCACTTTCTGTTCTTAGTGCCATGGTTTGTTAGAAAAAACGCCCTCCTTGTGGAAGCATTTTCCTAAGTGACCTCAGGGATCACAAGCTGCCCAGTCACAATTCTCAGAAGGAACCAATGATTAATAATAATTGGCACAGGTCCCACTTCTAACAGAACAGAACTAGAAGCATGGGACAAGTCTCTGCTACGTTTGTATACGCCAGTGCTGCTGAGTGGATGGCTGAGGGGAAGTGGCCTCTGTGTGATGGCTGCGTACTTATGGGAGTGCTTTTAAAACCAACCTTTTTCTACAGCATCTTTATTTAATCATGTCTTTCTCATGGAAAGTGGCAGCATGGCCAGAACCCCGGACAGGGTGTCAAAAGCCTGGCTCTACTTTAGCCTTGCCAATTACAACATGGCAAGGGTGTGCACATCCACGGGGTGTGGAAACGAAGATCGAATGCACTAAATGCCTACGAAGAACAGTACACCTTCTGCTGCATTTAAATCTTGGTTTCTTCATTTTACAAATGAGAGGACACTGAGGCACACAGAAGTTTGGTTACTTGCCGTATGTCCTTAAGAACCTGCTCAAGACCCCATAGCTGGTGAAGGGTAGACCCAGCTCCCTCATCTGTGTGACTCTCAGACTCCAGTGCTATGTTGCCCACATGGCCTAGGACCAGAGAACAGGACCCAGGGTTCCTTTCTGTAATACTTCTGTCTTGTTGTTTAATTCTTCTGACAGGGAAGAGGGGAGCAGGTGAGGCCCCCAGACTATAATGGAAATGGCTCAGCAGCTGCTACAAACACCCACAGCCAATGGCAGCCACAACCAGGGCCCAGGAGGGAGGCCAGGGCTGCCGCTCGGCGTGAAGAATGCACATTAACCTACTGATAACTTAAAATTAACATTTTAAAATTCTGTTTTTGCTTAATGGAGGAAAAAAAGGCCACTTTTTGGATACTGATGCTATGAAATTTCTAATACAAAAAAAAATCTGGCATTGTTCATTAGTTGGACTGCTATGCTATGAGAATTAGTTTATGAATGAAACCTAGTATTGAAAGTTGTGGCCGGGTGTGGTGGCTCACACCTATAATCCCAGCACTTTGGGAGGCCCAGGCGGGAGGATGGCTTGAGCCCAGGAGTCTGAGACCAGCCTGGGCAACATAATGAGATGTCGTCTCCACACACACACATGTACACGCACATGTACACACACACATATAAATTAGCCAGGGTGGTGCATGCCTGTGGTCCCAGCTACCCAGGAGGCTGAGGTGGGAGGCTCACTTGGGCCTATGGGGCAGAGGTTGCAGTGAGCAGGGACTGAGCCATTGCATTCCAGCCTGGGCAACAGAGTGAGTCTTAACACCAAAAAAAAAATAAGTTGTGAGGTGATTTTTTTTTTTTTTTGAGACAGAGTTTCGCTCTTGTTGCCCAGGTTGGAGTGCAATGGCACGATCTCAGCTCACATCAACCTCTGCCTCCCAGTTTCAAGCGATTCTATTGCCTCAGCCTTGCAAGTAGCTAGGATTACAGGCACACACCTGGCTAATTTTTGTATTTTTAGTAGAGATGAGGGTTCACCATGTTGGCCAGGCTGGTCTGGAACTCCTGACCTCAGGTGATCCACCCGCCTCGGCTTCCCAAAGTGGTGGGATGACAGGCGTGAGCCACTGCACCCGGCCTAAGTTGTGAGGTTTGAGTAAAAGCCATTTATAAATGAAACTTAGTTTTTTCCATTAGAAAAACAAGTAAAACGAATGCAACTAAACTACAGCTATGGATAAACCAATAACCACGATCAGATGGCATTGATAAAGCAGAATTTTAAGATTCCATCCACAGGTGACTTGACCTTGGGATATTCTAACAGGAAACAACACCCAGTACCCAGGTCCACAAGTGTGCAGCCACAGAGGAGAGCTGTGGAACTTAGCTGTGATTGGGCCATTTTGTGAAATTAAAGAAATAAGCACTCCCGGAGGGCATGTCTGAATACAAACAATAGAGGCTGCGGATCTCCCAGCTGAGGTGTACCCTCTCCCTCATATGAAGTTCTTTACTGAACGCTTGCCACAGCCAACGCGCCAGGAGGGATCCAGGAAGGTGCCAGGCGGCCCCACCCTTCAGCCAGCAGCCATCTGGGAGGCAGGCCAAGGGAGGGCCAAAACTGCTAACACCAGAAATTAATAAGGTTTATAGAGAACCACATAACCTATTCTCTTCAAATCACTAGCCTATAAAGGCAGTATTGAGAACTACAAGTTTCACAAAACTGGAACTGAGGCAGCACCTATTAGTACCTCATCTGGCTGCTCATCCCAGAGCCATTAAAGAGACGAAGACAAACTACTGCATCACGAAAAGATCCTGACTAAAATACCTTCCTGATCTTTTCTGTGAAACTTCAACTATAATGGGAAAGAGAAGGCTGGACTGCACAGCTGTCTTCCGGGCAGTGACAACTAACTGGTCACGTCTGTACCTGTAGATTTACAAGCTGCGAGGTGGATTTTCCTTGGAGGCACAAGGCCTGCGCAATAAACGCATGCAAATCCTCCAGGCAAAGCGTGTCCACCTGAAAAGGACAGAGAAAGGCCAGTGTTAGGCTACAGGAAAAATTAAACATTTCTTACAAATTGATCTCAGTTATTAACTATGAGTGTGTGTATAGGCGCAAACATGCACACACAGGCACGTACAGGCACACGCACAGGCACCCACATGTGCACACAAGCACACAGAGGTGCACACACATGGGTACACGCACAGGCATGCACACACACATGGGCACACATGTACACACACAGGTGTACACACAGGCACACGCACAGGTGCACAAACAGGCACATGCACAGGCACACACATGGTGCATCAGACCTCAGGCAGCAGACAGTATGCAGGTGGAAAGAGCACAGCCTCTTCACACCATCCTTGGCTCCTGGCTGTGAAGCTCTCTCTATGGTGTCCCCAGTTGTGCACACAACTCACAGCCCAGCTGGAAGGGGAGCCTGAATTTCTAGTCAGGTTAGACTCTAACAAGGCAAAACTCCGCAGAACATCTGGGAATAATCATGAGGTGCCAACCAAGACCAGGTCTTAGAGCCAGACAGTTGATCACGTTTGGGACAAATTGCACAGAGCAAACAGTTCAGGGGTTTTCAGAGAGCGAATATCCACAGCTGGGCTGAGCTGGGGTCATCATCCACTTTTGGCAACCTAGAGGAAACCTGTGTCCTCGAATCCTAGTTGAGAGTAAATCAGAACCCACAATATGAGACCCTACTAATCCTCTGTGGAATCAAGATGCAGCAAAAGTGAGAAAAGGAAGGAGGGACAGAGGAACAAGAGACAGCAAAGGACAGACTGAACACTGCTTGGTGTGGAGTAGATGATGGAGATAAGGAGAGGGCGTGAAGAGCGGGGAAGACACGGACGGTCCAGACCCCATCAAGAGCAGACGGTGCCACCCCTTCCCCTGCCCCACACTGTGAGGAGGTAGAGACATTCCTCTCCCAGCCACCGCGTTCAGCTACCCAGATAAAGGCAGGACGTGCCCGCTGACTGAACGACTCCACAGCATCCTAAGGCCGCAAGAGCTGCTTCTCTCAGAAGAGCACCTTCTGCGGCAAGTAAAGGCTCGCGGAAAAAGAAACAGAAAGCCAACAGCAGACCCATGAATAACAACTTCACTGATTCTTCTTGGATATTAAAAATGGCTAACATGCCTATTTGCAATAAAAACAACCCCACCATAAATCAGAAAGACTCCTGTGCTCCCCTGGAGGATGGCGGCATTTGCTTCCACCAGGGTGGGGGTGCTGACTGCTGCTTGGACCTGCCAATGCTCTTACTCACCATGTCACTATCCTAGTCCACTTTTATTCCAAGTAGGTATTACTTTGGAATAAAAGGAATATAAAATATATGCATTTCTATGATGTAAACTTACCTTTCCAGAGGATATTCTCAGATGAGTCTCTAATAAAATCATTTGTGGCTGTTGTTAACTGGGAGGTCAGACCAAATGAGAGTACAGTTGACCCCTGACAATACAGGTTTGAATTGCATGGGTTCACTTATATGTGGATTTTTTTTCAACCAAATGCAGATGGAAAAATACAATGTTCATGGGATGTAAAACCCGAATATAAAGGGCCAGCTTTTCAAATCTGTGGGCTCCACAGGCTGACCGCAGGACTTGAGGATGCATGGATTTTGGCATCCTTGGGGGTCCTGGGACCAATCCCTCACATATACCAAGACACAACTGTATTTAGTTTCTCTGTCATTTTCATGCACTGAACAGTATGTTATTTTATCCCATATTACACATCAAAACATCGAATTTAGGCTTAATATATAAAACTGTAATATTTTTATAAATGTATCTTTTTAGCCTGATTAATTCTGAGAGTTATTATCCCTGGGAATAATACAGCACCTTCTTCATCTAGCGAATACAAAATTGATTTATCAATCTGTTGTTTTCTAGTTTTTAAAAGTTCCAATTTAAACCTCTCCTTTAAAGACAAGTTACCAAGTCTGCTCATGCCAACTTGCACTACAGAGATTTTACTTAAAAGGTCTTTATTAATAGAAAAAAGGTAAAGTGGAAATTTTCTTCCTGACGCTTGTCTTGCTTCAGGCTTATATAAACAGGGATGTGATGTTACTGTTCTGGGGTCCTGGGCTTTTTCTGCTTGAAGTGAATTTAAAGAACTGACAGTCACCTGCACAGGGATGGGAAGGTAGAACTGCGCTGCGTGACCACACACAGGATCAGCAAGCATCGTTCATATGGAACAGCAGGCGGTGTGTCCCTCCTGGGGGGCTGACAATGGCCTTCCCATTGTTGTGCACACACATAGTATCAAGAACAAAACACATGTATTTTTATGGGTGGGAAAAGTCAGCTTACTGGCTATGCACCACTTCTCAAGTCCCACTATGACTCAACGTTAACTACAGACACCTGTAGATTATTAGAAAATAGAAAATATTAACCAATAGTGCATACATGCATATTTAACATATAATATCAAAAGAAATATCTTTTTACATTTTTTTCCTCCAAAGTTTAAGTTTGGGGGTACATATGCAGGATGTGCAGGCTTGTTACATAGGTAAACACGTGCCATGATGGGTTACTGCACAGATCATCTCATCACCTAGGTATCAAGCCCAGCATCCATTAGCGATTCTTCCTGATGCTCTCCTTCCCCCTCCCCGACCCCCTCACAGTCCCCAGTGTGTGTTGTTCCCTGCTATGTGACCCTGTGTTCTCATCATTCAGCTCCCCCTTATAAGTGAGAACATGCAATATTTGGTTTTCTGTTCCTGTGTTTGTTTGCTGAGGATAATGACCTCCAACTCCATCCATGTCCCTGCAAAGGACATGATGTAGTTCCTTTTTATGGCTGCATAGTATTCCATGGTGTATATGTACCACATTTTCTTTACTCAGTCTATCACTGATATGCATTTAGGTTGATTCAATGTCTTTGCTATTGTGAATAGTGCTGCAGTGAACATACTCATGCATGTATCTTTACAATAGAATGATTTCTATTCCTTTGGGTAGATTCAATAATGGGATTGCTGGGTCAAATAGTATTTCTCCTCTAGGTCTCTGAGGAATCACAACACTGTCTTCCACAATTGTTGAACTAATTTACACTCCAACCAACAGTGTAAAAGTGTTCCTGTTTCTCTGCAACCTCGCCACCATTTGTTGACTTTTTAATAATAGCCATTCTGATTGGCATGAGATAGTATCTCATGGTGGTTTTGATTTGCATTTCTCTAGTGATCAATGATGTTGAACTTTTCTTCATATGTTTGTTGGCTGCATATATGTCCTTTTTGTTTTTTTGAGATAGAGTCTCACTCTATTGCCCAGGCTGGAGTGCAGTGGCACGATCTCGGCTCACTGCAAGCTCCACCTCCCGGGTTCACACCATTCTCCTGCCTCAGCCTCCCAAGTAGCTGGGATTACAGGTGCCTGCCATCACTCCTGGCTAATTTTTTTTTTTCTTTTTTTTTGTAGAGACGGGGTTTCACCGTGTTAGCCAGGATGGTCTTGATCTCCTGACATCGTGATCTGCCTGCCTCAGCCTCCCAAAGTGCTGGGATTACAGGCATCAGCCACCGCGCCCGGCTATATGTCCTCTTTTGAGAAGTGTCTGTTCATGTCTTTTGCCCACTTTTTAATGGGATTGTTTTTTTGCTTTTTTTCTTGTAAATCTGTTTAAGTTCTTTGTAGACTCTGGATATTAGACCTCTGTCAGATGAATACATAGTAAAAATTTTCTCCCATTCTGTAGGTTGTTTACTCTGATGATAGTTTATTTTGTTGTGCAGAAGCTCTTTAATTAGATCCCATTTGTCAATTTTTGCTTTTGTTGCAATTGCTTTTGGTGTTTTCATCATGAAGTCTTTACCCATGCCTATGTTCTGAATGGTATTGCCTAGATTTTCTTCTAGGGTTTTTATATTTTTGGGTTTACATTTAAGTCTTTAATCCATCTTGAGTTAATTTTTGTATATAGTGTAATGAAGGGATCCAGTTTCAATTTTCTGTATATGGCTCAGCCAGTTATCCCAGCACCATTAATTAAAGAGGGAGTCTTTCCCTATTGCTTATTTTTGTCAAGTTTGTCAAAGATCAGATGGTTGTAGATGTGTGGTCTTATTTCTGAGTTCTCTATTCTGTTCCATTGTTCTATGTTTCTGTTCTTGTATGGGTACCATGCTGTTTTGGTTATGGTAGCCTTGTAGAATAGTTTGAAGTTGGGTAGCATGATGCCTCCAGCTTTGCCCTTTTTGCTTAGGATTGTCTTGGCTATTCAGGCTCTTTTTTGGTTCTGTATGCATTTTAAAATAGTTTTTTCTAATTCTGTGAGGAATGTCAATGGTAGTTTAATGGGAATAGCATTGAATCTATAAATTACTTTGGGCCATATGGCCATTTTCACAATGTCGATTCTTCCTATCCATGAGCATGGAATGGTTCTCCATTTGTTTGTGTCCTCTCTGATTTCTTTGAGCAGTAGTTTTTAGTTCTCCTTGAAGAGGTCCTTCACTTCCCTTGTTAGCTGTATTACTAGGTATTTTATTCTTTTTGTAGCAATTGTGAATGGGAGTTTATTTGTGATTTGCTTTCCTGTTGTTGGTGTATAGGAATACTGGCGATTTTATATCCCGAGACTTTGCTGAAGTTAGTTCCCACGGATAAAGTCAACTAGATCATGGTGGATAAGCTTTTTGATCTGCTGCTGGATTTGGTTTGCCAGTATTTTAGTGAGGATTTTTGCATCAATGTTCATCAAGGATATTGGCCTGAAGTTTTCTTTCTTTGTTCTATGTCTACCAGGTTTTGGTATCAGGATGATGCTGGACTCATAGAACAAGTTAGAAAGGAGTCCTTCCTTTTCAATATTTTGGAACAGTTTCAGTAGAAATGGTGCCAGCTCTTCTTTGTACCTCTGGTAGAATTCAGCTGTGAATCCATCTGGTTCTGGATTTTTTTTTGTTTGTTTGGTAAGCTATTTATTATTGCCTTAATTTCAGAACTCATTATTGGTCTACTCAGGGATTCAATTGGTCTATTCAGGGATTCAATTTCTTCCTGGTTCAGTCTCAAGAAGGCATATGTGTGCAGGAATTTATCAATGTCATCTAGATTTTCTAGTTTATGTGCACAGAGGTGTTTACAGTATTCTCTGATGGTTGCTTATATTTCTGTGAGGTGAGTGGTGATAACCCCCTTATCATTTCTGATTGTATTTATTTGATTCTTCTCTCTTCTTTATTAGTGTAGCTAGTGGTCTATTAATTTAAAAAAAAACAGCTCCTGGATTCATTGATTTTTTTTTAAAAGGTTTTTTGTGTCTCTATCTCCTTCAGTTCAGCTCTGATCTTGGTTATTTCTTGTGCTCTGCTAGCTTTGGGGTTTTCTTTTGCTCTTGGTTCTCTAGTTCTTTTAGTAGAGATGTCAGGTTGTTAACTTGAGATCTTTCCAGCATTTAGTGCTATAAATTTCCCTCTTAACATTGCTTTAGCTGCAGCCCAGAGATTCTGGTAAGTAGTCTCTTTGTTCTCATTAATTTCATTATTTAACCAAGAGTCATTCAGGGGCAGGTTGTTCAATTTCCATGTAGTTGTGTGGTTTTGAGTGAATTTCTTAATCTTGAGTTCAAATATGACTGCTCTGTGGTCTAAGAGACTGTTTGTTATGATTTCAGCTCTTCTGCATTTGCTGAGATGTGTTTTACTTCCGATTATGTGATCCATTTTAGAGTAAGTGCCGAGCAGCAATGAGAAGAATGTATATTATGTTGAATTTGGGTGGAGAATTCTGTGGCTATCTATCAGGTCCAAGTGATCCAGAGCTGAGTTCAGGTCATGAATGTCTTTATTAATTTTCTGTCTTGATGATCTAATATTTGTCAGTTGGGTGTTAAAGTCTCCCACTATTATTGTGTGGGAGTCTCTTTGTGGGTCTCTAAGAACTTGCTTTGCGAGTCTGGGTGCTCCTGTACTGGGTGCATACATACATAGGATAGTTAGCTCTTCTTGTTAAATTGAATCCTCTACCATTATGTAATACTCTTGTCTTTTTTAAATCTTTGTTGGTTTAAAGTCTGTTTTGTCAGAAACTAGGATTGCAACCTCTGCTTTTTTCTGTTTTCCATTTGCTTGGTAAATTTTCTTCCAACCCTTTATTTTGAGCCCATGTGTGTCTCTGCACATGAGATGGGTCTCTTGAAGACAGCATATGGATGGGTCATGGCTCTTTATCCAGCTTGCCATTTTGTGCCTTTTAACTGGGGCATTTAGCCCATTTACGTTTAGGGTTACTATTGTTCTGTGTGAATTTGATCCTGTCATCATGATGCTAGTTGGTTATTTTGCAGGCTTGTTTATGTGGTTGCTTCACAGTATCACTGGTCTGTGTACTTCAGTGTGTTTTTGTAGTGGCTGGTAATAGTTTTGGCTTTCCATATTTAATGCTTCCTTCAAGAGCTCTTGCAAGGCAAGCCTGTTGGTGACAAATTCCCTAAGCATTTGCTTGTCTGAAAAGGATCTTATTTCTCCTTTGCTTATGAAGTTAGTTTGGTTGGATATAAAATTCTGGGTTGGAAATTCTTAAGAATGTTGAGTATTGGCACTCAATCTCTTCTGGCTTGTAGGGTTTCTGCTGAGAGGTCTGCTGTTAGTCTGATGGGTTTCCCTTTGTAGGTGACCTGGCCTTTCTCTCTGGCTGCCCTTAACATTTTTTCTTTCATTTCAACCTGGAGAATCTGATGATTATGTGTCTTGGGGTTGATCTTCTCATACACTATCTTACTGGGGTTCTTTGTATTTCCTGAATTGGAATGTTGGCCTATCTTGCTAGGTTGAGGAAGTTCTCCTGAATGATATCCTAAAGTATGTTTTCCAACTTGGTTCCGTTCTCCCCATCTCTTTCAGGTACCCCAATCAGTCATAAGTTTGGTCTCTTCACATAATCTCATACTTCTTGGAGGTTTTGTTCATTCCTTTTAATTCTTTTGTCTCTATTCTTGTCTGCCTATCTTAATTCAGAAAGATAGTCTTCGAGCTCTGAGATTCCTCCGTTTGGTCTATTCTGCTATTGACACTTGTAATTGCACTGTGAAGTTCTGTGAATTTCTTATGCTGTGTTTTTCAGCTCCATCAAGTTGGTTATGTTGCTCTTTAAACTGACTATTATGGCTATCAGCTGCTGTAGTTTTAACATATTTCTTAGCTTCTTTGCATTGAATTACAACATGCTCCTTTAGCTCCGCGAAGTTCATTATTACCCACCTTCTGAAGCCTACTTCTGTCGATTTAGGCATTTTAGCCTCAGCCCAGTTCTGTGTCCTTGCTGGAGAGGTGTTGCAGTCGTGGAGGAGAAAAGGCGCTCTGGCTTTTTCAGTTTTCAGCATGTTTGCATTGATTCTTTCTCATGTTTGTAGGCTTATCTATCTTTGATCTTTGAGATCTCTAACCCTATCCATAACCTTTGAATGAGGTTTTGGTGGGGTCTTTTTTGTTGATGTTGTTGTTTTCTGTTTTTCTTTTAACAGGCCATTCTACTGTAGGGCTGTTGCCATTTGCTGGCGGTCTACTCCAGATGCCAGTTGCCTCAGTTTCTCCCATACCTAGAGGTACTACCAGTGAATACTGTGAAACAGCAAAGATGGCAGCCAGCTCCTTCCTCTGGAAGCTCTGTCCTAGTGGTTACTGACCTGTTGCTGGCCCACACCCACCTGTAGGAGGTGGCTGGAGACCCCTACTGGGAGGACTCACCCAGTCAGGAGGAACAGGATCAGGGATCTGGCTGCTTTTTGGTAGAGCCAATGTGCTGCACTGGAGATGGGGGACCCTCCCTCATCCGGACTGCCTGTGTTCTCCAAAGCTGGCAGGCTGAAGCAGGTAAGTTGACTGAACTGTGGCCGTCCCTCTTCCTGGGAACTTGGACCCTTCTAAGGAGGACTCTAATTCACTGCCATTGGCCGGCTGGGATTCCAAGCCAGAGGGTCTTAAATTGTGAGGTGCCATGGAAGTGCAGCCTGCAGAATGATGCCGTTTGGCTCCTTGGATTCAGCCCCTTTCCTAGGGATATGTACAGACAGATTTCTTGTCTTGCCAGGGATCCCAGAGCCGGAGTATGTAAAACTCTTGGGTCTCTGTGTATGCCTGAGCAGCTGCTCTGCTGAGACTCCAAACAGCTCTGTGTATCAGACTCAAGGCTGTGGTGGTATGGGCTCATGAAGGGATCTGATACATGGGTTGCAAAGATCCATGGGAGAAGCATGGTTTCCCAGGCAGGGTCACACAATCACTCACGGCTTCCCCTGGCTGGGGGTGGGGGTTCCTTTGGCTCCATACTGTTCCCAGGTGGGGCACTGCCCTCCACCCCTAGTTTACTTTGTTCTCTGTGGGTTGTGTTGTTTGCCTACTCAGTCCCAATGTGAAAATCTGAGTATTTCAGTTGAAGGTGCTGAATTCACTTGCCCCTTTTCATTCCTCTCTGTGAGTGCCACGGACCGCAGCTGCTTCTAATCAGCCTCTTGGATTCATCTCCTCTCTTTTTACATCTACATTTTAAATAGTTCCTGCCATCCTACATTAATTTATAATCTGCTACGTCTTGAGCAAATAAAGAAGTAATCTACTCAAAATGGTAATGCAAAAACCAAGGTTTACATTGGTGCATGTGAAACCAATAATGAAGCAATAAATCCTCTAAGCACTACTTAACCATATCACATCTTACAAAATGCAAAAGGTAGAGCAAGCTATAGAATGGGCAGACCCAAGAGGACATTTAGAAAGAAAAAATCAGTCCAAGATTCCCTTGAGATGTATTTCTACAATAAGAGTACATTTCTTAAAGACAATCAATAATTTGTAAAGTAAATTCAGGTTTGAAAAAATAATTATATAATTGTCTATTCCAGGTAAGTGAACACTGAAAGGCTATGCCAATGGAGACCCACCATATAGGGAGGTCAGAGAAGCTGAGACGATGGCTTGAAGGAGTGAAGAAAGCTTATGAGACATCTCAACAGCCTGAAGAAGTAGACACTTTGTCAACAGTGGGACAAAAATCATCTTAAATCACAGAGCCAGGGAGGGAGGTGGGGAGGAGCAAAGCAGAGAAAGAGGGGCTGGGAGATGGGAGCATTCTCAGCCTTTCTTTTACTAAAGGTGTCCAAGCACTATTGTGCATGTAGAAAACTATTAAAAAGGTGAATCTTTTAACTGATTTTTATGATTTTCACATATAAACTACATATAAAGCTAATGCAAAAGAAACAGTCCACCTTGTCGAGTGAGCCTAAATGAAGGATCTACCACTACAATCTCTAGCTCAGCAGGATGGGAGGACCTAAATAATGAAGGTTATGACACCTGAAATCGCCCCAACAGCCCTAGGAGGCAGCTACTAAGATTATTTCATTTTCAGATTAGAAAATGAAGGCATATAATCAATAAACATTTGCTGGATGATGGAATGAAACTGACATAGGAAAAAGCTGAAGTAGTCTGTCCAGAGGCAAAGAGCTACGAGAAGCTAGGTCTCTAGCCAGGTCCTTTCTCACCTTTACACTAAAACCCAGAAACAAGAACCACCACCTAAACAATGCCACGAGGACAGAGGAGGTACACTATGGTCCACAAAGTTTGAGAAAGTTTAGTCAAGGCCAGAGCAGCTTCCACCACCTGCAAGATTTCCTAAGTCTCTAATACAATCTCTAAAGCTGAGGTAGTGACAGAGTTTCTTGTACGTATTTTGCCATACAATCTTCTTTTTATTTTTAGAGCACTTCAAAGGACTAATAATGTTCCATGGAACAGACATTGGAAAAAGACAATCCGGGACACCAGCCATGGCAATATCCCACATGCTCCCTCTCATAAAGTAAGCGCAGGCTGCAGTGACTAGAACGGGCAGCTGGACATTACCTGGACAAAGAGGTAGATCAAGAGGCAGCACAAAGCTTGAAATGGGCTTTCGACAGCCTGCAGCTCTTCTCTTGAGGAGGAAAGATTGAAACAGGCTAGGAGTGTGTCCAAGCGCCGAACCTGTATTTCTGGCTCTTGGTTCAGCCATAATATTTTCAAACTAGGCGTTCCCCCTAGTTAAGAAAAAAAGTCCATTAACTATTGTTCTTTGCAGCACAGAGTTATAATATGCTCCTTGTAGAAATACAGTAAAAGGAAACAAATCTCTTCCCTTCCTGATGTAAAAGGAACTAGAAAGTAAACATGATCAGATTAGTGATTTTCTTTAAAAAGCCCAAACCTAAAGGGCTGGCATACGTACGTTTCAATGAAAACATTCCTTCTTTTTTTAATGGCTAAATTTTGAGGGATACTGCACTTTCGACCATTAAGAATGCTTTCAGAACATCTTTCAAATGCGCTGTCTCAAGGATATAACAAGGCACTGCCGCCCTGCAGTATCACAGCTGATGGAGCACTTGGATAAAACACCATCCATCTACCCCTTAGTTTGCTCTCTTACTCTCTTAAATTAATGGTTTTCAACCTTTCATGTGCAAAAGAATCAACTGCAGAGATTGTAAAAAAAAATGCATTTTCCTGGGATCTATATGCAGAAACTCTGATTTGATTAGACAGGTATGGGTGCCTGGAAGTCTGCATTTTAACAACTCAGAAGACTTGGATGCAGGCAATCTGTGGACCCCAGGCTTTGGAAAGCACTTTCCTAAAACTATTAAATACACAGAAATTCCTAAAATGTAATTTTTAGTGTTTCACTTCTATATTTTATATAGATGTTTAAACTATTAAAATCAAAAGAAAAACACCCTTACTCATTGACTGAAACCACGACAAATGATGACGACTCACACTGAGTTGCAGATGCAGGTGCAGCTCTGCTTCCACACTCTGACAAACAGAAAGGTGCTGTTTCTAAGGTCAGACTTGTTAATCTGTGACTGCTGAGATGTCCTCCCTTGCTATCCACAGCTGTGATTTTCTGTGAGGACCACTTGGCTATAAAATACATGCCAAAAGCTCAAGGCTGGCTGGGATCTAAATGTCCCTTTTGTTTACTAAGGAAACAGAACCTACTAACCAAACGGCCTCAGAGTCCAAATGACCCAAAAAAGGAAATTCTTCTCTTTCTTTTCTTATGTTTCCCACGATAGCACTGACTACTCTCAGTGGTATATTTCCCGCCATCAGAAGTGAAACAACTCAACAAAACTCACTTACATTTCCAAAATGGCTGAAGTATTCCCTCCACCTGAAAAGCTTTTTCATTATTTATTTTGGAGAGAGAAAAAACATATTTTTCTCTTAAGAAAATGCTAAGGATAATTAGCAAAAACAAAACAACCCTATGGCAGTAGTACTTAAGATAGAGATGAGTCCAAGACAACCACAAGTGTCAGTAATTACTTCTTAGAAACATACTTTCAGGAAAATAACCAACTCAGGCAACGTGTGCAGTCTCGGGACAAACCCAGCTCCTGCCTGTTTTTATGCACCCCATGAACTAAGAAGGGCTTTCATATTTTTAAGTGGTTGAAAAAAAAAAACCAAAGTAAAAATGATATTTCATGATGCAGGAAAACCACACAAAATTCCAATTACAGCAACTGAGGCTGGGCTTTACTGGACCATGTATACACACGTGGGTATCGTCCACGGTTCCTTCCAGGCTTTAATGACCAACCTAAGTAACAGAGACCATGTGGCCTGCAAAGCCTGAAATATTTTCTACATTACCCTTCACAGAATAAGTTTACTAGTCTCGGATCTAAGGTAAGTAATGAATCTTCTATTATCACAGTTATTTCAAATATACTAACGATTTTGAAAATCATTTTTTGACTACAATTCAGACAGGAAAGTATAAAGAAGAAAATAAAAACAATGTACAATTCTACCACCCAGATATAACCATATTCTGAAATACAAGTTTCCAGTCCTTTTTTAATGTGAATAAGACATTTATGAACATGGCTGAAAGGTCATGTCCCCATCAGCGTGCAGGGAGATGGACAGTGGAAAGATTTTACCTGTGTTTCATTGCTTACACATGAAAATTTAATACAAAAAAAAAAAGATTCATTACATATATTTAGTAGAACCCAGTACAGCCATGCGCCACATAACAACATTTTGGTCATCGATAGATCTCACATATAATGGTGGTCCCGTAAGATCACAATACCATATTTTTACTCTACCTTTTCTATGTTTAGGAATGTTTACATACACAAATGCTTGCCACTGTTACAGCTGCCTACAGTATTCGGCAGCCACACGCTTCACAGGTTTGCAGCCTGGGAGACACAGGCCACACAATTTAGGTTTGTGCAAGTACATTCTATGATGTTCTCATGAGAGAATCACCTAGCTGCGCATTTCTCAGAACTGATCACTGTGGTTAAGCAATGCAGGGCTGTCTAGTGGAAATGATCAATGAGAGACTTCCTGAATACATAACTAGGAACTTGTGATCTCTTACTCACTCCCTACAGGTTCAGACTCCATGAGATGGGCTTAGACATCCAAGGAAGAGATTTCCAGGTATCTGTCTAATAAACAAGACAGGAAGGAAGAAACACAAGATCCATCAATTGTTTACCAACATTTTTCCTACCATACTGTCACAAAAGTTTCTATGAAGGCTGAGAACTGAAGCTCCATTCATATGCACTGATACATACAATTCTAGGTGCTCTGCACCTGAGTGGCCCCACATGAAAGATGAACAGCTGCTAGCTACCTTGGAAGAGCTTGCAGGAGAAGGCTGTGCAAATATTACAAGAGTGCGAAGGTTTTATGACAGGAGTTCTTTCCCTTTTTTTGGAGACAGTGTCTTGCTATGTTGCCCAGGCTGGTCTTGAACACCTGGCCTCAAGTGGTCCTCCCACCTAGGCCTCCCAAAGAGCTGGGATTATAGGCATGAGTCACCGTGCCCAGCCTGTTAGAGTTCTGAAGGTCAAAGAGAGTAACAAACAAATTGGGGCAGGGCATTAATAAATTTTCATGGAAGAGACTGGTGGGAACATTGGGCTGGACTTTGCTGGATAAAGGACACTTATAAACAAAACTTATTCTGGGATTGAAAGGAGGCAACAATGGACAGTGATAAAAGCCTTCCAGCCTTCCTGACCTCTACCCAAGCATCCAACCAATCACATGCCAGGCACCACAGGAGGTGCTGACACAGGGAAATGACTCACTGTCTGCCCCCGGGGAACATTTACAATCAGTGGAGCACACTGAAACTAACCAAATACACTCGTGTCCAACTACAAAGCGTAGGGCAGAGGACTGCTGCTGCAGGGCAGAGACATTGTGAGGAAGAGACTTGAGCTGAGATTTGAAGAGGGGGTAGAAATGAACAAAGACGAGAGAAGAAAAGGGGAAGTTCAGGGAAGGGAAATGTCCCAAGTGCAATAGGAGCACACTGGAGGGAAGCCCTAAGGAAGACCAGCATCAAGTCTGCTATGCAGGAGGACTCTGGCAGCAGTGGGAAGCTGACTGGGGGAATGTAAAGGGAAAAACAAGAGGCAGGCAAAGAGGTGAGGGAATGGATCCACGCAACGATTAGGGGAAGCATGCTGAGGTGACTGGGACTCCAGATCTACGGACTTGCCCAGGTGGTGGCGGGGACATCCACTGCAATAGACAGTGGGATTCCAAGGTGGGGCTGCTCAGGAACCAGAGAGAGGCTAGCACCGCAGGCAACGGTGCAGGTGAATGGACTGAACGATTTCATCCGTTCTTCCAAGGTGGGGCTGCTCAGGAACCAGTGAGAGGCTAGCACCGCAGGCAACGGTGCAGGTGAATGGACTGAACGATTTCATCCGTTCTTCCAAGGTGGGGCTGCTCAGGAACCAGAGAGAGGCTAGCACCGCAGGCAACGGTGCAGGTGAATGGACTGAACGATTTCATCCGTTCTTCCAAGGTGGGTCTACTCAGGAACCAGTGAGAGGCTAGCACCGCAGGCAACGGTGCAGGTGAATGGACTGAACGATTTCATCCGTTCTTCCAAGGTGGGGCTGCTCAGGAACCAGAGAGAGGCTAGCACCGCAGGCAACGGTGCAGGTGAATGGACTGAACGATTTCATCCGTTCTTCCAAGGTGGGGCTGCTCAGGAACGAGTGAGAGGCTAGCACCGCAGGCAACGGTGCAGGTGAATGGACTGAACGATTTCATCCGTTCTTCCAAGGTGGGGCTGCTCAGGAACCAGTGAGAGGCTAGCACCGCAGGCAACGGTGCAGGTGAATGGACTGAACGATTTCATCCGTTCTTCCAAGGTGGGGCTGCTCAGGAACCAGAGAGAGGCTAGCACCGCAGGCAACAGTGCCAGCAAATGGACTGAACGATTTCATCGGTTCTCAGTCTTCAGAGGCCGTGACACGTAAGTGACATACTAGTGAACAAAGCTGGTAAACAACTTATGGAATCAACAGGTTTTATTTTTCTCTCTCCCACATCTTTTATTAGACCAACAGCCTTAGTATCATCTGGGAACTCAGAAATGCAAATTCTTCAGTCCCACCCTAGACTTACTCAATTAGAAATTCTAGGGGTAGGGCCCAGCAATTTGTGTTTTAACACACCAGCCAGGTGATTCAGCTGCTGAGTTTCAACAAAAAGGCTACAAAATCATTTACACACAGAAAACAAGTAACTCACCAACAATAAAGGAATTGGCTCTTGAGGAGTTCTAATGATATAATAGATTATAGAAAATCACCAGAGTAGGAAAAATGTCCTGATAAATCTTTTTAATATAAAAAATTTTCATCCTAAATTCAATCAATATTTTGCCAAGAAATATTTATTGAATGCCTATGTGAATACTAATTTAGGAGATAAGATACCTCCATAGCTCTCTCCAGAACTTGCAGGTATTTAATGGAAGATAATATACTCCAAGGTTTTTGTCTTTTAATGCTACTACCACAACGGAACATCCTCAGAATATGTGGAAGTCCTCTGACCACTCTACAAAAAGGCTTTAATTACAAAGTTACTTCTTTTCATAAATGCGGTAAAATGTTAGCTCCTCCTAGCCATACACAGGTTTATTTCTTAGCTGACAGGTTTCCAGGAATCATCTTATCCAGGGGAGGGTGTGGATGTTTTTGGAGGATCATTTAGATCACTTCTCTTCTAGTGGTACACTCTCTAAAAAGAATGGCTAACTCAGGTGTGATAACTCAGGAGGGTTGCGATGCAAGAGAATTGTTAATAAGTAATTTCAGTTTAAAGGAAATGTACTTGCATCAGAATTGGAAGGCAGACCAACTCAGGGGAGGGCAACTCAAACTTTATCTGGTGTGTAAGAGGACTCCATCCACACCCATCCAGTCATCTAGGTCTTGAATAAAGATAAGACTTTGCCAATAAAGATCGAAGGTGGCCCTCATGTTTCACCCAGAGCCTCATGGGCAGCTGAGATGTTTCCAACAAGAACTTAGAGACAAAACAAGCAATCTGGTCCCCAGGTCACCCACCAGCATCACTTCTAAAACGCATCAGCTTCAAAAACCCCGGTACACAATTTGGTAAAAGGTTTTGTGTGAACAGATGGACAGGACAGCCTCAGGGTCTTTTCAGGAGGGACCGAGCCCCAGGGGGCCATGCAGAAGCGCAGGCAAAGGAGGCAGTTCTATGGTGGGAAGCTCTGAAGGCTGTCCTGAGAGGTGTCTGGAGGACTTGGCCCCTGGGGGAGAGTTGTGAACGCACCTCCTGAGTGCCCCATTGCTGTTTCCACAGCTACAAACACAGAAGAGTGAAAGGCATGCTGGACGCTAAGCCATGGCACTTACATGTGCTTTTTACATGGAAATAAGTTTTTTAATAGGTAGGTTTTTGAGTTATTTTAAGGTTATTTTCCTTACATATTCCTAGGGTTAATAAAAACGTAAAACTGCCTGGCTTGTGTCTATTCTCAGGATGTAAGAAGTGAAACTCCTAGAATTAACTTGCATATATCTTTTAGCTCAGATCATTTGTGAAAGCTTAAATTCACAAGTTCAATTTAAGTGAGTATTTATTTAGCATTATCTGTTGGTAGATCATTCCTGGCCAAAAGGAAAAAAAACAAAAAACAAAAAACAACCAAACCAAAAAAACTCAGAAAACTGGAGACACGGGCTTGGCCTCCCAGCCTACATCCTTCTCCCATGCTGGATGCTTCCTGCCCTCAAACACTGGACTCCAAGGTCTTCAGTTTTGGGACTTGGACTGGCTCTCCTTGCTCCTCAGCCTGCAGACGGCCTATTGTGGGACCTTGTGATCATGTCATGGCTATGATCGTAATCAATCCATGAACTGAAAATACTGGAGATCTGGCAAGATGGCCAAGTAAGAACAGCTCTGGTCTGCAGCTCCCAGCAATTCCAACGCAGAAGGCTGGTGATTTCTGCATTTCCAACTGAGGTACCTGGTTCATCTCAATGGGACTGGTTAGGCATTGGTTCAGCCCATGGAGGGTGACCAGAAGCAGGGTGGGGTGTTGCCTCACCCAGGAAGTGCAAGGAGCTGGGGACTGCTCTCCCCCAGCCAAGGGAAGCCATGAGGGATGGTGCTATCCAGCCCAGATACTATGCTTTTCCCACAGTTTTTGCAATCCGCAGATCAGAAGATTCCCTTGTGTGTCTACACCACCAGGGCCCTGGGTTTCAAGCACAAAACTGGGCAGCTGTTTGGGCAGACACCGAGCTAGCTGCAGGAGTTTTTTTTTGTACCCCAGTAGTGCCTGGAATCCCTGCGAGACAGAACTGTCACTCCCCTGGAAAGGGGGCTGAAGCCAGGGAGCCAAGTGGTCTCACTCAGCGGGTCCCATTCTCATGGAGCCCAGCAAGCTAAGGACCACTGGCTTGAAATTCTCACTGCCAGCACAGCAGTCTGAAGTCGACCTGGGACGATCGAGCTTGGTGGGGGGAGGGGCGTCTGCCATTACTGAGGATTGGTAGGCGGTTTTCCCAACAGTGCTGGGAGGCCAGGAAGTTTGGACTGGGCGGAACTCACCACAGTGCGGCAAAGTGGTTGTGGCCAGACTACCTCTCTAGATTCCTCCTCACTGGGTAGGGCATCTCTGAAAGGCAGCAGCCCCAGTCAGGGGCTTATAGATAAAACTCCCATCTCCCTGGGACAGAGCACCTGGGGGAAGGGGGCTGCTGTGGGTGCAGCTTCAGTGGACTTAAACGTTCCTGCCTGACGGCTCTGCAGAGAGCAGCAGCGGATCCTGGCAAGGAGGTTTCTCCCAGCACAGCACTCCAGCTCTGCTGAGGGACAGACTGCTTCCTCAATGGGTCCCTCATCCCCGTGCCTCCTGACTGGGAGAGACCTCCCAGCAGGGGTTGACAGACACCTCATACAGGAGAGCTCTGGCTGGCATCTGGTCAGTGCCCCTTTAGGAGGAAGCTTCCACAGGAAGGAGCAGGCAGCAATATTTGCTGTTCTGCAGCCTCCGCTGGTGATACCAGGCAAACAGGGTATAGAGTGGACCTCCAGCAAACTGCAGCAGACCTGCAGAAGAGAGGCCAGTTGGAAGAAAAACTAACAAACAAAGTAACAGCATCAACATTAACAAAAAGGACACCTACACAAAAACCCCATCCAAAGGTCATCAGCCTTATAGATCAAAGATAGATGAATCCACGAAGATGAGGAAAAACCAGCGCAAAAATGCTGAAAATTACAAAAACCAGAATGCCTCTTCTCTAAATGATCGCAACTCCTCTCCAGCAAGGGCACAAAACTGGACAGAGAGAATGAGTTTCATGAACTGACAGAACTAGGCTTCAGAAGATGGGTAATAACAAACTCCTCTGAGCTAAAGGAGCATGTTCTAACCCAATGCAAGGAAGCTAAGAACCTTGATAAACACTTACAGGAACTGCTAACTGGAATAACCAGTTCAGAGAAGAACATAAATAACCCGATGGAGCTGAAAAACACAGCACGAGAACTTCGTGAAGCACACACAAGTATCAATAGCCAAATCAATCAAGTGTTAGAAAGGATATCACAGATTGAAGATCAACATATTGAAATAAGGCATGACGACAAGATTAGAGAAAAAAGAATGAAAAGGAACGAACAAAGCCTCCAAGAAATATGGGACTATGTGAAAAGACCAAACCTACGATGGACTGGTGTACCGGAAAGAGATGGGGAGAATGGAACCAGGTTGGAAAACACACTTTAGGATATTATCCAGGAGAACTTCCCCAACCTAACAAGATAGACCAACATTCAAATTCAGTAAATACAGAGAATACCAATAAGATACTCCTTGAGAAGAGCAACCCTAAGACACCTAATTGTCAGATTCTCCAAGGTTGAAATGAAGGAAAAAATGTTAAGGGCAGCCAGAGAGAAAGGTCAGGTTACCTACAAAGGGAAGCCCATCAGACTAACAGCAGATCTCTCTGCAGAAACCCTACAAGCCGCAAAAGAGTGGGGGGCCAATGTCCAACATTCTTTTTTTTTTTTTTTTTTTGAGATGGAGTCTCGCTCTGTCATCCAGGCTGGAGTGCAGTGGCATGATCTCAGCTCACTGCAACCTCTGCCTCCCAGGCTCAAGTGATTCTCCTGCCTCAGCCTCCCAAGTAGCTGGGATTACAGGTGCGTGCCACAATGCCTGGCTACTTTTTTGTATTTTTAGTAGAGACAAGGTTTCACCATATTAGCCAGGATGGTCTCAATCTCCCAACTTCATGATCCGGCCTCCCAAAGTGCTGGGATTACAGGCATGAGCCACCCCGCCTGGCCCCGACATTCTTAAAGAAAAGAATTTTCAACTCAGAATTTCTTTCCCTCTTTTTTTTTTAAATTGAATCCAAATTTTATTAAGGATTTCAAGTTACATACTTCAAATTTCTAGAATGGAATGGAATCATTTTGGAACTGGAAAAATGGCAAAAACACTGACATCCCTTAAAACTTCAATTTTATAAAGAAAATTCTTCTGCAAATCAACTCAGAATTTCATATCCAGCCAAATAAGTTTCACAAGTAAAGGAGAAATAAAATCCTTTACAGACAAGCAAATGCTGAGGGATTTTGTTACCACCAGGCCTGCCTTACAAGAGCTCCTGAAGGAAGCACTAAATAAGGAAAGAAAAAACTGGTACCAGCCACTGCAAAAACACACCAAAAAATAAAGACCATTGACACTATGAAGAAACTGCATCAACTAATGTGCAAAATAACCAGCTAGCATCATGATGACACATAACAATATTAACCTTAAATGTAAATGGGCAAAATGCCCCAATTAAAAGACACAGACTGGCAATTTGGATAACGAGTCAAGACCTATTGGTGTGCTGTATTCAGGAGACCCATTTCATGTGCAAAGACACACATAGGCTTAAAATAAAGGGATGGCGGAATATTTACCAAATGGAAAGCAAAAAAAAAAAAAAAAAAAAGCAGGTTGCAATGCTAGTCTCTAATACTACACACTTTAATCCAACAAAGATCAAAAAAGACAAAGCGGTATTACATAATGGTAAAGGGATCAATGCAACAAGAAGAGGTAGCTATCCTAAATATATATGCACCCAATACAGGATCACCCAGATTCATAAAACAAGCTCTTACAGACCTACAAAGAGACTTAGACTCCCACACAGTAATAGTGGGAGACTTTAACACCCCATTGTCAATATTAGATCAACGAGACAAAAATTAACAAGGATATTCTGAACTCAACTCTGGACCAAGTAGACCTAAGAGACATCTACAGAACTCTCCAACCCAAATCAACAGAATATACATTCTTCTCAGCACCAGACAGCACTTATTCTAAAATCAACCACATAAATGGAAGTAAAACGCACCTCAGCAAATGCAAAAGAACAGAAATCATAACAAACAGTCTCTCAGACCACAGTGCAATCAAATTAGAGCTCAGGATTAAGAAACTCACTTAAAACTGCACAACTACATGGAAACCGAGCAGCCTGCTCCTGAATGACTACTGGGTAAATAACAAAATTAAGGCAGAAATGAAGAAGTTATTTGAAACCAATGAGAACAAAGAGACAACGTACCAGAATCTCTAGGACACAGCTAAAGCAGTGTTAAGATGGAAATTTCTAGCACTAAATGCCCACATCAGAAAGCAGGAAAGATATGAAATTGACACCCTAACATCACAATTAAAAGAACTAGAGAAGCAAGAGCAAACAAATTCAAAAGCTAGCAGAAGACAAGAAATAACTAAGATCAGAGCAGAACTGAAGGAGATAGAGACATGAAAAACCCTTCAAAAAAATCAATGAATCCAGGAGCTGGGTTTTTTTTTGAAAAGATTAACAAAATAGATAGACTGCTAGTCAGACTAATAAGAAAACAGAGAATAATCAAACAGACACAATAAAAATGATAAAGGGGATATCACCACTGATCGCACAGAAACACAAACTACCATCAGAGAATACTATAAACACCTCTACCCAAATAAACTAGAAAATCTAGAAGAAATGGATAAATTCCTGGACACATACACCTTCCAAGACTAAACCAGGAAGAAGCTGAATCCCTGAACGGACCAATAATAGGTTCTGAAATTGACACAATAATTAATAGCCTAGCAACCAAAAAAAAGCCCAGGACCAGACGGATTCACAGTCGAATTCTACCAGAGGTACAAAGAGGAGTTGGTACCATTCCTTCTGAAACTATTCCAAACAATAGAAAACAAGGGACTTTTCCCTAACTCATTTTATGAGGTCAGCATCATCCTGATACCAAAACTGGCAGAGACACAACAAAAAAAGAAAATTTCAGGCTAATATCTCTGATGAACATCGATGCGAAAATCCTCAATAAAATAATGGCAAACCAAATCCAGCAGCACATCAAAAAATTTATCCACCACGATCAGGTCGGCTTCATCCCTGGGATGCCAAGCCTGGTTCAATATATGCAAATTAATAAGCGTAATCAATCACATAAATGAACCAATGACAAAAATCACGTTTATCTCAATAGATGCAGAAAAGGCCTTCGATAAAATTCAACAGCCCTTCATGCTAAAAACTCCCAGTAACTAGGTATTGACGGAAGATATCTCAAAATAACAAGAGCTATTTATGACAAACCCAAAGCCAATATCATACAGAATGGGCAAAAGCTGGAAACATTCCCTTTGAAAACCGGCACAAGACAAGGATGCCCTCTCTCACCACTCCTATTCAACACAGTATTGGAAGTTCTGTCCAGGGCAATCAGGCAAGAAAAAGAAATAAAAAGTATTCAAATAGGAAGAGAGAAAATCAAATTGTCTCTGTTTGCAGATGACGTGATTGTATATTTAGAAAACCCCATTGTCTCAGCCCAAAAACTCCTTAAGGTGATAAGCAACTTCAGCAAAGTCTCAGCATACAAAAATCAATGTGCAAAAATCACAAGCATTCCTATACACCAATAATAGACAAGCAGACAGCCAAATCATGAGTGAACTCCCATTCACAATTGCTACACAGAGAATAAAATACCTAGGAATACAACTTACAAATGACGTGAAGGACCTCTTCAAGGAGAACTACAAACCACTGCTCAAGGAAATAAGAGAGGACACAAACAAATGGAAAAACATTCCATGCTCATGGATAGGAAGAATTAATATCATGAAAATGGCCATACTGCCCAAAGTAATTTATAGATTCAATGCTATTCCCACCAAGCTAACATTGACTTTCTTCATAGAATTAGAAAAAACTACTTTAAATTTCATATGGAACCAAAAAGCCCGTATAGCCAAGACAACCGTAAGCAAAAAGAACAAAGCTGGAGCCATCACGCTACCTGACTTCAAACTATACTACAAGGCTACAGTAACCAAAACAGCGTGGTACTGGTACCAAAACAGATATATAGACCAAAGGCCTCAGAAATAACACCACACATCTACAACCATCTGATCTTTGACAAACCTGACAAAAACAAGCAACAGGGAAAAGATTCCCTGTTTAATAAATGGTGCTGTGAAAACTGGCTAGCCATAAGCAGAAAACAGAAGCTGGACCCCTTCCTTATACCTTATACAAAAATTAACTCAAGATGGATTAAATACTTAAACGTAAAACCTAAAACCATAAAAACCCTAGAAGAAAACCTAGACAATACCATTCAGGACATAGGCATGGGCAAAGACTTCATGACTAAAACACCAAAAGCAATTGTGACAAAAGCCAAAATTGACAAATGGGATCTAATTAAACTGAAGAGCTTCTGCACTGCAAAAGAAACTATCATCAGAGTGAACAGGCAACCTACAGAATGGGGGAAAATTTTTGCAATCTATCCTTCTGACAAAGGGCTAATATCCAGAATCTACAAGGAACTTAAATTTCAAGAAAAAAACAACCCCATCAAAAAGTGGATGAAGGATATGAACAGACACTTCTCAAAAGAAGACATTTATGCAGCCAACAAACATATGAAGAAAAAAGCTCATCATCACTGGTCATTAGAGAAATGCAAATTAAAACCACAATGAGATACCATTTCATGCCAGTCAGAATGGTGATCATTAAAAAGTCAGGAAACAACTATGCTGGCGAGGATGTGGTGAAATAGGAATGCTTTTACACTGCTGATGGGACTGTAAATTAGTTCAACCATTGTGGAAGACAGTGTAGCAATTCCTCAAGGGTCTAGAACCAGAAATACCATCTGACCCAGCAATCCCATTACTAGGTATATACCCAAAGGTATAAATCTTTCTACTATAAAGACACATGCACACGTATGTTTACTGCAGTACTATTTACAATAGCAAGGCTTGGAACCAATCCAAATGCCCATCAATGATAGACTGCATAAAGAAAATGTGGCATACACACACCATGGAATACTATGCAGCCATAAAAAAGAATGAGTTCATGTCCTTTGCAGGGACATGGATGAAGCTGGAAACCATAATTCTCAGCAAACTAACACAAGAATAGAAAACCAAACACCGCATGTTCTCACTCATAAGTGGGAGTTGAACAATGAGAGCACACGGACACAGGGAGGGGAACATCACACACTGGGTCCTGTTGGGGGGTTGGGGGCAAGGGGAGGGGCAGCATTAGGACAAATACCTAATGCATGTGGGGCTTAAAACCTAGATGACGGGTTGATAGGTGCAACAAACCACAATGGCACATGTATACCTCTGTAACAATCCTGCAAGTTCTGCACATGTATCCCAGAACTTACATTAAAAAAAAAAACAAAAAAAAAACTCAAAAAACCCTGACTACGCACATGCAAAGTGAATCTTTAGATGAACAAAATTCAAAAGCCTATTTATAATAAGCAAAAAAATTCATTCATATATAAACAAAACAGAATACATTTACATCTCAATACATCAAACTCTATACTTACATGGATAAGTTTTCTAATTTCATGCTTGCAAAAATTACATCATTACACCACTCCCATCTAATGCATTCAACAGTGAAAGTGGCTATAAAAAGTAGTAATGCAAAATTTAACCCTTGTGACTCTAATGTGAATTTGTTAACACATTTGACAAAGCTTCACACTATTTTTTACAAGTTGGTGAAAAACTGCTTTTGAGATTTTAACCAATTTATGTTGATCTGCAATGGTCGGGGCAGTTTCAGACACTGGCAGCCACATGAGCAGAGCCTCACCAAGGGCAGGCACACACACACCCAGCTTCCTTAAGGGCATGTGCACACACACACACACACACACACACACCAGCTTCCTTTTACCACTCACAGAAACCTCCAAGACTTGTTGAGCACTTTCTTGACTGACCTTGCAACAAGGATCAGATGAAAACCTTCAACAGTGTATGTAAGAGGAGGTGAACAAGAAAGCCACTACAACTGTTTGATAGCAAATGACAGATTGAATCAAATACATGGTCCTTTTTTCATGAAATGTATGACTTACCCTCATTTCGTTTTGTAAAATAGTCTTCTAAGATATTCTGCAATTTTGGTAAATCAAATGTGTATAGCCAAGAAATACTAAGCTTTCTGATTGTTGAACACCACTTTAAAAAGGTTCTTCAAGATAGACAAATTACCAATGAGATGTGTGCATTAGTTTTCCTAGGTTTCTAAAATAAGGATATGCTTAAAGTAACTTAAAAAAACAACACTTAGAAGAGAAAAAAAGCCACCAGCACTTTGAAAATGAAGAATTGACAAATCTCCAATTCTGGAGACTGAAAAGGCAATTTCAAATGCTTGCCTTTGGTGTGGGCCAAGACTCCCAGCCACAGAATGGAGAACGTCAGGAAAGTTAGTAAGGGAGTGAGAGCAGGCAGTGTGCTGGGAAAGGGTAGACACACATGCACACATCAAGGACCTTTACGAGCTGGGTTTGGGAAATGGAAGCTAAACTGTGTTATCAGAAACATCATCTTCCATGATATATTGTAAAAGAAATGAAATGTAGTATATATATCCTATATACATGCTCCCACATGCACACACGTAAAGATGGGGCCCATACGCTGGGCAGTGGCTGACGCCTGTAATCCCAGCACTTTGGGAGGCAGAAGCGGAAGGATCATTTGCGGCCAGGAGTTTGAGACCAGCCTGGCCAACAAGGCGAAACCCAGACTCTACTAAAAATACAAAAATTAGTTGGGTGTGGTGGCATGTGCCTGTAGTCCCAGCTACTCAGGAGGCGGAGGTTGCAGTGAGCTAAGATTGTGCCACTGCATTCCAGCCTGGGCGACAGAGTGAGACTCTGTCTCAAAAAAAAAAAAAAAAAAGATGAGGCTCACAGAAATATATGCATGTAAATAAGCTCCCTGAATAAAACAAACCAGTGTCTTGGTCCATCTGAGATGCTATGGCAAAACACCATAAATTAGGTAGCTTTTAACAGCAGAAAATTTCTGGAGGCTGGAAGCCCAAGATCAAGGTGCCAGCATGGTTGGCTTCTGGTGAGGCCCCGCTTCCTGGTTCACAGATGGCACATTGGCACCTTCACACGGAAGAAGGGGCCTCTTTTATAAGGGCAGGAATCCCATCTAATCACCTCTTTCCCTCCCAAAGGCCCCACCTCCCAATACCATCACATTAGTGATTAGGTTTTCAATACAGGAATTGCGGGGGGCGGGGGGGCGGTGGGGTGGGGGTACAAACATTCAAACCATAGCACCCAGGAATGAGATTTCTTTTTCTGCTCCCTGGCTCGTTAATTTTGATTATTTCCCCTTCCTAATTTTTAACTAATTTCTATAGTTTTTTTCTGCACCCTTCGGCCTCAGTTCCACTTTGTTGGAAAATACTTGTGATTTCCTTTTATTTCTACAATTCAGGAAAGCAAGCATTAAATCACATGTGCTACCAGAGGAAAAAGACTTTAAAAAAAAAGAAAGAACATGGGCCACTATATTGAAAAATTCACTGAAAATGTAGCACTTATGAGATTATCCTAATTAAAACTGTCTTAGAAGAACAAGGAAAATCAGGTATGGGTGTCATTTGGGAAAAACTGGCTCTAATGGTGCGACAAGAACCTTTTGCAGGTTTTCCTGACAGGTGGACAGGAAGGGCCCATCGGCAGGATCTCACTTTTTTTTTTTGAGATGGAGTCTTGCTGTTGTCGCCCAGGCTGGAGTGCAATGGCGTGATCTCGGCTCACTGCAACCTCCGCCTCCAGGGTTCCAGCAATTCTCCTGCCTCAGCCTCCTGAGTAGCTGAGACTACAGGTGTCTGCCACCACACCCAGCTAATTTTTGTATTTTTAGTAGAGACAAGGTTTCACCATGTTAGCCAGGCGGGTGTCAAACTCCTGATCTCAGGTGACCCATCTGCCACGGCCTCCCAAAGTGCTGGGATTACAGGCGTGAGCCCCCCAACCCCACCCAGCTGATCTGTTTTTAATCGTATGTTGTATTCATGTGAATACTTGACAGGCAATTGGATGTTCTGTTTTCCATTTTTGTCTAAAATCATTTGGCAATATTCCTCATAGATACGGAAAAGCACTTAAAATTTAAAATCTTGTCTTTTGAATTATCATCATTATTGATGATATTGCATTAGTGCAAGTGTAAATAAGGAGTCACCCATTGAAATAATCTGGAATAAAAAATTCAAATCCAATTTCTAGAGTAACAGCTGTGGAAATGAGTGTGTTTGAGATGTGGCCCTCCGTGTAAAAGTTCAAATCCTATGTCTGGAGTAATAGCTGTGGAAATGAGTGTGTTTAAGACGTGGCCCTCCATATAAAAATTCAAATCCAATTTCTAGAGCAATAGCTGTGGAAATGAATGTGTCTGAGACGTGGCCCTCCGTATAAAAGTTCAAATCCTATGTCTAGAATAATAGCTGTGAAAATGAGTGTGTTTGAGACGTGGCCCTCCATGTAGGGCACAGGCTTCCGGAGCTCCTTCCAGAAGAGAACCCAATGTGTGGTCCAAGGTGCTATACACACGCTTTCCCACTCTAGGAGTGCAACAGAGGATGTTTTCACAAGCTCTGAAGTAGTCTCTCTAATACTTATACAATTTCTGGAATTTATTAAAACATTATATAGAGTGGCCTTTAAAATTAACTCTTGACACAATGACGAACAGTCAAATGTTCTCTTTAATTCAAACAATGAAAAGAGATGTAATAGTCATTTTCCATATTATATTTGGAAAGATACTATAAGATGAAAATACATATATAATAAAACATTTTTGGAAAATTATTTTGGCTATCCTTTAAAAAAATGCTCCTTACTGCAAAAACAAATGTCAATGCATTCTAATTATGTTTCTCTGGTAAGTACTTTTAAGGTTTTAGTGTATGATTAACAGAATAAGGAAACACTCCCTACAATAGCTTTTCTCAACTTCTCTCTCAATACAATTCCATTTATTTAAAAACCAATTATAGTGCTCAGATCTGTACTTGGTAAATTACACGTTCATGTCATGGAAAATAGTAGCGAAACCAGAGAATTTAATGCATATGAAAATGGAATAGCAAAACTGTAGGAAAATATTTGTTCGGTGAAACAATGACATGAGCCACTAAAAATAAACTCTGAAGCTTAGCCTCCTCTTCCTTAACTGTTTGTGTGTAGAACCCTACCCTGACACTTGTACATTCCTGACCTGTTTCAGATACTACGAACTCACAGAAAGAAAGGCTGCTCTTTGGATATACTTCAGCTAATCTGCAGGTGAACTTTGTTTTTCCTTACCTCTCATTAAGCTTTAAGATATTGCTCATGAAAATATAACCTTTTTTCCAGTGGAAATAACCCTCCTTTATCTTCTCTTTCTGGTGCCAGAACTCATCAAAATATGCTTTCAGTGGTGGGGAGAAGGTAAGATTGTTGATTCAAGCAGAATATCAAGAATCTATCCTGTTAAACTCTGGACGTCTACCAAGCAACAACTAGACATCAGGCACTGGGGCTGCGGCAGCAACATGCGCTGACCACGGCCATCCTTCTGTCTCTTTTCTCTCTCCACTGCTGTGGACCTGGACCAGGGTGGATGGAGAAAGAGGCAGAGCACCGCCGCAGATGGTCCAGGGTAAACCTGCCACAGCATCATCCTTCCATTATTTTGGGACTTTGTTAGATGGATACATTAATCATGAGCCAAGGGTTTAAATAAAAACTAGTATTTGTGCAATTCTGGTAAAAGATGCTTTCCATAACTGATGCATTCTTAGACTTTTATCATAGAATGGAAAGATCTGTGGTTCATTTAAAGAAAGGCTGCCTGTACCTGGAATGGTCATCTGCAGCGGCCTGACGAGGTCCGGGTGCCTCAGTGGGTTCCCAGGATACACAAACCACTCCTTGACAGCTAGGCAGGTGCTGGTGACATCTGAAGAAAAAGAGTTGGGTCAGTAGATGCATGAGGGCATGCATCGCCAGGCTCACAGTGTCACAGACCCAGCTCTGCCCAGGTGGCCAATTCAAAGGTGAGCTCTCAAATCCAAGGTGACTGAGTAACCTTAAGTTATCCAACAATTAATTTCTTATCCTCCAATCTGAGGGTAATCTGTTCATTCCATCAAGAACCATACCCTGTGGAACCGACAAAATCCTCAGGATAATCTGGGTAAGTAAACAATAATATGGGAGAGAGAGTTTACCATGTTAATGACTCCTACGATGTCTTTCCTCCCTACCTCCCTCACACTGTTCCAGAAAACACTTAAAGAAAACTGCTGGAATTGGACAGTCAACATGGATACAGTTTTTTAAAGCAAGACCAGGTAAAGAAGACAGTGGGTGTAACTGAGGAACTCTGAAGGGAGGAGGTCAGCAGAGAACAGGTGCTTAAGGGGGAAGGGAAGAAGAGGTGGTGTCCCTAGATGCCAGATATCCCAGCACAAAGGTGATCATCAGTCAGACAGCTGCTCAAGTTGGGCAGAGGGCTTCGATGCGGGGCAGAAAGAGGCAGTGGGCTTGGTCCAGGGCTGGGGGAAGCAGGCCTTGATGAAGAGAAGAAGAGTGGACACTTCTATAAAAGAGCTGAGAAATGAAGTGGAGAGATGTCCCCTTAATGTAGCACAAAAACACAAAAACAGGAATCAAAAGATGAAGAAAGAGAGTATCAGTCCAGGAAGCCCCACCTGCATTTCACAGCACTTCCAGGAGAGAACTGAGACAACAGAGATTCGCTAATCACAGGATAAAGAGAACACCTCAAAACCTTCTAAGAAAAAAAAAAAAGTCGGTAAAAAAGGAACATGAATCACTCCAGCACTCGACTTTGCAGCTGGCATTATCAGCACCTGTGATGCCACAGGACCGCGGGGGTGACTGTGATCGAGCAGAGCCACTGAGCAGGGGACAGTGGGGGTGGTCGTTTGTGAAAGGGCAGAGCCACTGACCAGCCTTCCTACCATCAACACTAGAACTGAAGAAATGGTTCTAGCAACTGCATTCATGTGACGGACAATGGGCAGTGCCAGATTGTTATCCCAGACAGAAGGGAAACAACTCTCTATCACGCCAATTTTGTGCCCACAGGCACTGTCCAGACTGTATCCTAGTGAGGGAGGTAGTTCCTCAGATGAGGAGACAGAGACTGGAGATCAAGACTATTGAGGCCACCATCTGCAGGACACAGCACCAGAGAGCAGGGCAGTGTGCAGATGGCAAGTGCCCTTTAGACTCTGGCTGAAGAGAGAGCTATCAGGATATAGGGTAAGACTCAGAGAAGCCAGGCAAGGTCCTGGGGCTGGCCAACCAATGGAGCTTGCACTGGGCTTGAAGACAGTGGAGCTTCCACCACCAGCAAACATGAAGAGACCTCGTCCTACACCTTGGGCACTCTGGTGATAGCCTGGAAGGCCCTGCCTTAGGAGTAGGGCTGTGCTAGCTGTAAAGTAAAAGCCACAATGGACACAGCCTAATGAAGTTTAAAGGCAAGTCTCGGAAGGAGCAGGTAGAGTAACTGTCTGACAGAACTAAACTCTACACTCTTTTTAGTATCCAAAATGTTCTGGCATATAATCAAAAAACGCTAGACATGAGAATAAGCAAAACTATGTGGACCCTGTAGGAGGAAGTCAACAAATGGCCCAGAGGAAGAGGCAAAAGAGATTGAGAAAGACAAAATCTTATTTAAAAAAACGCTCATTTCTTCCAAATTTGATAGGAAATATAAACCCATAGATTTAGGAAGCTCAAGAATCCCATGAAGGGGGCAGGAGTGAACCTTACTCAAAATCCAGCAAACAGGAGAGGAATTGCAAAGACAGCTAGAGGAGAAAAGCCACGTAACACATGGGGAACAACGATAAAGATGAGCCTTGCTGTCTCATCAGAAACTACACATGCCAGGAGAAAATACAGAACGACCTAAAATTCTATATGCAGCAAAACTATACCCCCCCAAAGAAAGATGAAATACAGTCCTGTACTGCATAAACCATGATTTGGTTAGTGATGGACTGCACACACATTTCTGGTGAAGCCTTGATGATCCTGACCCCGTGGAGTCCTAGACTAATGTGCGTGCTTGTGTCTGAGCTTTTAACAAAGAAGTTTAAAAAAATTAAAAGTTTCTAAAGTATGAATTCAGGAAGTAGAGTTAAAAATTTTTCTAATAGAAAAAGGCTTATAGAATGATATAAAGAAAGAATTTTTTGTCCAGTTGTATAATGTGTTTGTATTTTAAGTTAGGTGTTAATTACAAGAGTCAAAAAGTTAAATAAATTTAAAAGTTTATAAAGTAAAAAAGTTACAGTAAGTTAAGGTTAATTTATTGTTGAGGAAAGAAATATTTTTTGAATGTATTATAGCCCTAAATGTGCAGTATGTATAAAACCTACAGCAGTGTATGGTCATGTCCTGGCCTTCCCATTCACTTCCCACTCGCTCACCGGAGTCACCAGAGCAGCCTGCGTGTGCAGTGTGTGTAAAGCCTACAGCAACACGGTCATGTCCTGGCCTTCCCACTGACTCTTCACTCACTCATGGACTCACCGGAGCAGCCTGCGTGTGCAGTGTGTATAAAGCCTACAGCAGTATACGGTCGTGTCCTGGCCTTCCCACTGACTCTTCATTCACTCATGGACTCACCGGAGCAGCCTGCATGTGCAGTGTGTATAAAGCCTACAGCGGTGTATGGTCATGTCCTGGCCTTCCCACTCACTCTCCACTCACTCATGGACTCACCGGAGCAGCCTGCGTGTGCAGTGTGTATAAAGCCTACAGCAGCATGGTCATATCCTGGTCTTCCCACTCACTCCCCACTCACTCATGGACTCACCGGAGCAGCCTCCGTGTGCAGTGTGTATAAAGCCTATAATTTAAAGTGGAAATTGGCAAACTACCAGCTCATGGGTCAAATCTGCCTGCTTTTTTACAGTCTGAAAACTAATAATGTTTTCATATTTTTTTAATGGTTGGAAAAAAATGTTTTTAAGAATATTTTGTGACTCCTGAAAATTATACTCTATAAAATTCAAGTTGGCCGGGCGCGGTGGCTCACGCCTGTAATCCCAGCACTTTGGGAGGCCGAGGTGGGCGGATCACAAGGTCAGGAGATCGAGATCATCCTGGCTAACACAGTGAAACCCCGTCTCTCCTAAAAATACAAAAAATTAGCCGGGCATGGTGGCGGGTGCCTGTAGTCCCAGGTACTTGGGAGGCTGAGGCAGGAGAATGGTGTGAACCCGGGAGGCGGAGCTTGCAGTGAGCCAAGATTGTGCTACTGCCCTCCAGCCTGGGCGACAGAGCAAGACTCCATCTCAAAAAAAAAAATTCAAGTTTTGGCCTGGTGCGGTAACTCACATCTGTAATCCCAACACTTTGGGAGGCTGACGTGGGGGATATCTTGAGGTCAGGAGTTTGAGACCAGCCTAGGTAACATAGCGAGATCCTATCTCTTCAAAAAAAGAATATTTAAAAATTAGCCGGGTGTGGTGGCGCATGCCTGTCATCTCAGTTACTCAAGAGGCTGAGGTAGGAGGATCCCTTCAGCCTTGGAGTTGAAGGCTGCAGTGAGCTGTGATGGTGCCACTGCACTCCAGCCTGGGCAACAGAGTGAGACTCTGTCTCTAAAAAATAAATAAATCAATAAAATAAAATTCAAGTTCTGTCACATGGGAAAATTGAATAAAGGCTTCCTGGCACACAGCCACATTCATTCATGTACATGTTGTCTATGGCTGCTCTTGCACTACAACAGCAGGATTGGGTAGTTGTGACGGGGACTGTGGAAGGAGCCCTCAAAACCTACAATATTTATTATTATCTGACCCTTCACAGAAAAAGTGTGCCAACCCCTCATGTATTATAGGGTTTACAACATATGCATAATCTCCAAAGGTTACATATTGTATGCTGCCATTTATGTAACATTCTGAAATGAACAAGAACATAGAGATGAAAAACAGATTCGCAGTTGCCAGAGGACAGGAATGGGGGGAAGAAAGATTGCCAGGACACAGGGGCACATGGAGGGAGTGCTAACAAACCAGCTCTGTATCTTGGCTGTGGTGGTAGCTGCAGGATCTTTGCACAGACCTACACACCCACACACATAAATGCATGCATGTAAAAAATGGCACAACTGAATAAGGTCTGCAGTTTAGTTAGCATTGTACCTGATGTTAACTTTCTGGCTTTGATATTACACCACAGTTATATAAGATGTCATCTTTGAAGGAATCTGAGTGAAGGGTACATGGGAAACTATGTACTATTCTTGCAACTTCCTGTGAATCCGTAATTATTTCAAATTTAAAATATATATATATGTACAAGACATAAAACGACAATAGCAAAAATGTTGGGGAGAATGAAAATACACAGTTACAAGGTTTTTACATTGCTAGTAACATAGTATATTATTTGATAGTAAATGGTGATGTTAAAGATATTAAAAGTAATTGCAAAAACCGCAATTATTTTTGCACCAATCTAACAGACCCCCAGATCAACCACTTTTTTTTTTTTTTTTTGAGATGAAGTCTCGCTCTTGTCCCCATCTTGTCCCCAGGCTGGAGTGCAATGGTGTGACCTTGGCTCACTGCAACCTCTGTCTCCTGGGCTCAAGCAATTCTCCTGCCTCAGCCTCTCAAGTAGCTGGGATTACAGGCACCTGCCATCATGCCCAGCTAATATCTGTATTTTTAGTAGAGACAGGGTTTCACCATGTTGGCCAGGCTGGTCTCAAACTCCTGACCTCAGGTGATCCGCCTGCCTCGGCCTCCCAAAGTGCTGGGATTACAGGCGTGAGCTACCGTGCCCGGCCAACTACTTTTTTTTTTTTTTTTTAAAGGTAAATCTAATAATCCAAATGAGTGCATAAAACACAATACTAAAAATTATTAAACTAATCCAAAAGAAGTATGAAAATGAGAAAATAAGGTGGGGAAAAAAGAACAAAAGGCAAAACGGAAGAGTGAGCCCTAATTATGCCAAGAGTTACGTTCAGTCTGAACATTCCAATTAAAAGAGAGACTGTGACACTGGACATGCTGTTTTTAAAAGAGATGCACTTTAGATGTTAAGAAATAGTTTAAAAGGATAGAAAAAATACCATACCATGCAAACATTAACAGTAAGAATACTGGAGTGACTATATTACAATAAAACAAAGACAACTTTAGGACAAGGAGTATTACCATGTTTTTAAAAGTGAACTCTCCTGTTAAAAGGGTCGATTCATTAAGAATCACAACAGTCCTCAACGTATATGCACCTAACAACAGAGTTTCAAAATACCTAAAGCAAAAACTGACAGAACTGAAGGAATAAATAGACAAATCCACAGTAAGAGCTGGAATTTTTAACCGTTTTCTCCTGGGAACTAAGAACAAGTAGACAGAAAATCAGTAAAAGACTTGGAATAGCCTTATTAACACTGCTGACATTTACAGAACACTCTACTCAACAACTGTAAAATACACAACATTTTCAACTACAAATGGGATCATAAACTAAGTCAAACAAATAACATAGGATACACTTCATTATTATCATCATATATAAATCAGCAAAAACAGCATTTTATTTTCATATCTTAATAATGTAAACTTCATGTAGAAAGCCAAAAAGTTGAGGGAGAAAGAAAGAAACTAAAGATCAACCATGAAGACAAATTCAATGTGAATGGTTTTTTTATGTGGTTATCTAATAAAGTTATCCACTTGGTCATAAATATATTACATTAACAAAGTATGAAATTTAGGTTAGTGAAATTTATATAGTTTAATGAAATAGTCTGAAAATAATTCCAATATTATTATTTAATGTAAAAATGTTTTCATGAGGAAGATCTCTTTTTTCCATCATTAGAGTCAATGTGCAAACATCCATGTTAAGAAAGAATGCGGGTAGAGAGCACATAAGAAACAGAAATTTTAAAAAATGATTTAAATATCGTTTGGCTCCAGAGTTTATTACACAGGTTCTTTATTTCTGTTTTTAAATCAGCTTAAACATCTTTCTCATGTCTGCTTCCTTAGGTCACAGAGGTGAACTCTTGCAGTATGTATGGGAGAAAGCAGTGCATGCTGGGTGGTGCTACAGGAATCTAACAAAAACTGGATTTAAATAACCCCACTACCCCTGAGCCCCATCATCCAAAAATAATAATGATGACTTTTCCATCTGATGATTCTATCACCACTTTTAGATTATGTAAATGTTCACTTTCTGGAACAACAGAGTACGGTTAATATTGACATGTCTGGAAATAATGATGTTTAGGCAAATGGACCACCTGCACCAGTATCCTACTCCTTCTCTCTCTTATCCTGGTAATAGTGTGTAGACCATGTTTCTTATCAACACATTCTCAAATCAGACCATAAAGTACCTAAGGTCTCTGTCTAAAATGAACAAGGCCTTACTGAAATAGAAGGGCACTAAATGCATTCAACATCTCTGGTTTCTGATATGAAGTGTTCTTCCACACTCCTCATTCCCCCCAAAACTATTCCAAATGGTGAGTTATGGGACCTTCACTAACTTTCTCCTTGGGGTTAAAATTCCTCATTTTCACTATTTGGGTCCTTGATGGTCCGCTCTCTACTCTTGTTGCTAAGCACATAATGGAAATATAGATGAGAAAAAACACAAATTACAAAAACACCAAAGGAAAATTGTTTGTATTTAAAAACATGATCACTAGATTTTGTAAAATTATTTTATAAAAATCACATTTTGAGGGAAGACTAAGTAGACATTGTTTTCTTCTAATAATAGGCATACTCTACTCTCCCCTACAGGAGGAAAGAATTCTCACATTTTTTAAAAAAGCAAAAATCCTTTTAAGGCATAAAAATATGACATTTTATAGAAATCATGCATTCTTCTTTTAATGCACACTCATCAACTTACTGTTCATTAGATATAGACGTCCAATGGCACTTACGCTTAATTTTTTACAGATGTCAGTGGTATTCTCAATTATAGATTTGACAGGGATATAAAACCCATTTAATTGTCTCCATGTCTTGAAAGAATGCACTCTATTTCATCTGGCCAGTTTCTCAGAACTCAACTCCAAATAGAACCTTTACTAAGAGGGACCAACCAATTCTCACCTTGACAGTCCTCCAGTAAGAGTGAGTAGACCCGCTGTCGAATGGGACGGTAAATGAAGGCCTGGCTGGGTAAGGCCTGGTCAAGCTCATCTTCTAGGGTGTTGCTGCATTCAATCTCTCCACTGCTCATGATGTTGTACACCAGGTAGCTTTCTGCTTGGACGTGATGTGTTCTAGCAACCTGTTTGAAATTTAAATACAACTGAATTTCTCCTTAAAAACAGGATAGTAACCTTCAAATAGAAAAAGTCAATGCCTTTCATCATATGCCAGTTTTTTAAGGCCCTCAGAAATGTAACTGACCCTGAAATTCATGACATCAAGTTGCCATGTTCTCTTTCCTTTGGACTACCAATTTCAAACTTTCTATTCCCCCTCCTCCTCCTCTCTCCAAACGTCTACCAGTCTTATCTTCTGCAGTATCTCACTGTTCTGTCTCCTTGATAACCTCCCAGTAACCAGGTGCTCACTACTTCTCACCAGTATTGCTATGAAAGGGTCTTAATCCCCTAGACCAGTTTCTCCCCTTTCCAACCCATCCTTCACACCATTGCCATACTGTCTTTGAAAACTTTGCTACCCTATTCAAAACATTTGAATGGCTACCACAAATCCTTCACCATAACATTTGAGGCCCCTCTATAAAGCCTCAATCTCCTTTTTCTAGCCTTGCACACCATTTCACCCTCATAGAAATAGCCATAATTCAGTCTCAACAGAACATCTTCATTGCTCCTCAAGAGTACTCAATCCTCTTCTACCTTTACTTGTGCCCCATAAGAACTTACCCTACCCAGAATCTTTCTCTTCCAGTCTTTCCCAGCCTCCCACTTTACAATCCTCTTTTCCCTTTAAGGTTTGCTGATGTCACCCTCTCCTCCTCCCTTAGACAGGACCAACATCCAGCTTGCCTTATGGAGCTCATATCCTATTTTCCCTGTAACGCAGCTGTCTGGTCTGCCTCCCTTATTAAACTGTAAGCTGCTTAGTGTTAGAAGCCGTACTATATTCATTCACTCATTTGTTGAGAAATTGTTTACTGAGTGAAAAACCATGTGCCAGGCACAGGTGCTTCTCCTCTGTAATGTCAAGACAGTGCTGGCTCATGGTAGGTGATGAGATACATGATTTAAATTAATTCCACTTTCTCATTAAGTAAGTAGTTAAAATCAGAAGGGCTATCATAGCCTGAATATATAGGTTTTACCTTCCAGTGAAGAACATTCTTATTACTGTGAGAATAAGTTCATCTAGATTACTATTCAAAATTTAAATCCAGTCTACTACTAAAGGCATTAAAATGTGATGCTAGAATAACCTGGATACCAAAAACTCTGAATCCTAAGAGTGTCTCATTTATATGTATTTAAATAGTCCTAGTTATGTTGATTCATTATTCATAGGCTTCAGTCTTAATCTCTCTGTTCCTTACCTTCTTCCTATAGAAAATGGGTTGAATAAAAACGTGCCCGGCTCCCAGGACTACTGTGAGGATTAAATGAGTCAATATAAGAAAAGCACTTGTCCTGAGGTGTGGCTTGCAGCTCACTGCCAATGCATGTTCTATAAGATTATAAGACTATCCGGCCAGGAACGGTGGCTCATGCCTGTAATCCCAGCACTTTGGGAGGTCGAGGTGGATCACTTGAGGTCAGGAGTTCAAGGCCAGCCTGGGCAACATGGCGAAACCCCATCTTTACTAAAAAATACAAAAATTAGCTGGGCGTGGTGGAGTGCACCTGTAGTCCCAGCTACTCAGGAGGCTGAGGCAGGAGAATTGCTTGAACCTGGGAGGCAGAGGATATAGTGCCACTGCACTGCAACCTGGGTGACAGTGAGACCCTGACTCAAAGAAACAAACAGTAACTCAACTGATCTTCCAAAATGCTGACATAGAGAAGACACAGATATAAGGCTGTGGTTATGCGTGTATCCAATGTAACTGTTGTGCCCACAGCCTTTCTACCTGAGCATTTTTCCAGGGTGACTATGTATGGTTAAAATACACGTTTGAATTTTAGTTGCCTGTTAGGGTTTGAAGATGACATTGCAAAAAAATTTTATAGAGAAAATGTAAGGGCAATGTAAGAAACTTCAAAATTGTTTTCAAAGATACAATTAAGTTCAATCCATGTGAACAACTCTCGACCCACCACTTTGCCCAGGCACTCCCTTCCTGTGAGGACTCTCCTTGACCCTGCCTTCCCCAACAAAGTCTCTTCCACTGCCAAACTCCCTGTCGGCTTTGCCTCCACTCCCAACCCTGTGCTGCAGTAACTCTCTGATGCCATCAGGACCTCCTAATTACTGACCCAAGTCCCTATGTCTAGTCCTATTCTACCTCTTTACCTCTGTAGCATGTGATACTCCTGACCGTTTCTTTTCTCATTCTTGAAACTTGCCCCCTTGGACTTTTGTGGGGATTATCCCCTCCTTATTCTCCTTCCTCCTCTGCTCACTCCTGATCTCTCAGTGGACTGTTCCTTAAGTCTCCATCCCACATCATCTTTTACTTTACACATAAAATAGGATAACTCCCAGATGTCTGTCTCTTGCCAGTAATAGAACTTTAGGTCCATATTTCACTACGAGAACATGTGTTAGAGGTGCCATCTACTCAATTAAAATATAACCCACTTAATCTTCTTCTCCCTGTAAAACCTTTCCTCCTTCTTCTTTAGATTAACACCATCTACCATCGCCGGTACTCAAGGAGGAACTTCACCTCCACAGCAAGACTTATTTATTAGTTTCACTTCTGAAACATTTCTTGAATTTGTTTCTTCCTATTTCCACTGCCATTTTCCTAATTCTAGCTCTTTTGTATTTTACCTGAGTTACTACAATGGCCACTTTAAATCCACTCACTGCACTGTAATGTTTCAAAAACCAAAAATCTGATCATATCGATATACCTGCTTAAAAAAAATCGAATGCTGGTTGGCTGGCAGGTTCACATGGCTGCCCTCCAGGTATCACCACACAGCTGCTCAGCTGCTGTCCGGGCCTGAGTTTTGCATCAGACTAGGAGCAGGAGCTTCCTTACAGATCTATGTAGTTGTAACTAGATGAAAGATGGTGGTGCTCATAGTGCTGGGAACAAGGAAAGGTGTGTGGTTAAGATAGTTAAGTTTGGTTTAGAACTTGCTGAGGTACCTTTGAGACATTCATGTGGACACAGACCTCTTCTGTAAAACAAGGATAAGTCTATCTCACAGGGCTGTTGAGAAGATCTAATGAGAAAAGTTACCTAATGCACCTAGCACAGAACCTCACACGTAGTGGCCCCCCATCAAAAATCTTCAAAGGCGCTGTAATACTTTCAGAATTAAGTCCAAATTCCTCATGTGGCATTTAATAACCTTCCCAATTTGGCTATGATTGTCCACCTTTTCCCATTTTTTTCTCCAAACCCCACGCTCTAGCCTGGACTTTCTCCCTGCGCCCCCGCGTGATGCAGATTCAAAACGCTACACCTTTAGTACTTCCACAACTCCCAAGTCTTTGCTTATTCAATGCATATTTTGGCTGCCCCATTAAGGTCTGGCTCCAGTTCTACCTCTTTGGGGAACTTCTCCCTGTACTTTATTTATTTTTATTTTTTGAGACAGTTTTGCTCTTATTGCCCAGGCTGGAGAATCTCAGCTCACTGCAACCTCCGCCTCCCAGGTTCAAGTAAGTCTCCTGTCTCAGCCTCCCGAGTAGCTGGGATCACATGTGTGCGCCACCATGCCCAGCTGATTTCTGTATTTTTAGTAGAGACAGGGTTTCACCATGTGGGTCAGGCTGGTCTTGAACTCCTGACCTCAGGTGACCCACCTGCTTTGGGCCTCCCAAAGTGCTGGGATTACAGGCATGAGCCACCACGCCCGGCCTTCTCCCTGTACTTTAACCCACAATGTTCTCTTTCTCTCTTGTATTCTTATAGCACTTTTCTATAATATTCATGTGACAGTATCCAACATTGGTTGTGAGTTTCCACACATATAACGTCACACTTCCTAACGAGACTTAGAGACTCCTGTTGTGCATCCTCTCAGTGGCCAAACACTGAGGCAGTAATGGATCTTCACTAACAAATCCATCAGCGGATATATTTTCAATCATGGCATATTGGCTGGGCAGATACACATACCTTTAAGATTTCAGTGTCTGAAACCATGGTTACTTGTTGCTTTACTTCAGGCCCCACATTTGTGGGGTCTTCTTGTTTAATTTCAGGGTTTGTACACATGAGAGCTTCTAGCTTAAATTCAAAATCTGTTGCTACAGGTAATTTTTGATTGATTTCAGCGTGTGTACACATGGAGTCTTCTTGCTTGGATATAGGATCTGTACATATGGGAACTTCCTGTTTGGATTCATGGCCTGTACACATAATTTCTTGCCTAGATTCAGGGTCTGTCCGTATTAAAACTTCTTGCCTGGATTCAGGGCCTGTATACATGGGAACTTCTTGCCTGGATTCAGGGCCTGTATACATGGGAACTTCTTGCCTGGGTTCAGAGCCTGTATACATGGGAACTTCTTGCCTGGGTTCAGAGTCTGTATACATGGGAACTTCTTGCCTGGGTTCAGAGTCTGTATACATGGGAACTTCTTGCCTGGCTTCAGGGCCTGTACACATGGGAACTTCTTGCCTGGGTTCAGGGTCTGAACACATGGGAACTTCTCGCCTGGATTCAGGGCCTGTACACGTGGGAACTTCTTGCCTGGGTTCAGGGTCTGAACACATGGGAACTTCTTGCCTGGGTTCAGAATCTGTATACACGGGAACTTCTCGCCTGGATTCAGGGCCTGTACACATGGGAACTTCTTGCCTGGATTCAGCATCTGAACACATGGGAACTTCTTCCCTGGATTCGGCGTCTGAACTCGTGGATATTACTTGTTTGTCCAAAGTTATTACACCTTTGGGTTTTTGGAAAAACCATGGAGATTTTTGTCCTGGTAAAAGATATGATGCCATTCCTTTATAAAAAAGAGCTTTGTTTGGTCCCAGAGGTAATATCTCTTCTAATTTTTTCTCACCTTGATACAAGTAAAGAACTTTCGATATATGGTCTGACACAGCTAATATGATGTTACCTTTTTTGTCAAAGTTCTCTTTTACAGAGGTGTAGGACGATAAGCATTTGTACCTAAAGCTTTCAAACATGCCCTCTGGGATTATGTCGTTGCCAAGGAGGCAGGCCAGAAGAGGAAGGTCGGCCACACAGAGGCCCAGACTCTCACAGAGCTTCTCTCTGCAGAGCATGACGGTGTCCAGGCTCTCTAGGCAGAGCTCGCTAATTGAAAAGTAGGGACAAGTGTCATAGATTAGGTAATCAGTGTCTTCCCCCAGAATCCCAAGACAGTTATGCTGGAGGCCATAGGAAGCTACCTCATAATCTGCTTCCTGCAAAGAACACAAAGTTTCCTGGCCCAGTGTCTTTAGAGCAAATCGTGTAAACACAGCTAGCCCTGAGGGGATGAAGAACATATTTCTGCCTGGCTGCTCCTTGTGTGACTTGATGTAATGAAAAATCCTGGATATCTCCCTGTTGTTCTTGAGCCTTCGTTTCACCCATTCATCTCTCTTATCCTGCTCCACCATGCCATCAAAGAAGAATATCAACTTGATCCCAGCTGCCGTAAAAGTTTTAACAAAATCTCGCAAAGCAGAAAAGTATTCTCGCCACTGGCCACCGCAGATCCAAGATTCTGGAGTATACCAATATCTGAGACAACACATGGCATCAACCACAATGGTAGGGGTACATCCAGGATACTTGCTTCGGTGGTGCTCTGCCAGTTCTTTGAAATTTACTACTGTACATATATGTGGGCAGGTACTTCCCACAAATCCTTGCAAACCTCTCACACCCATAACTGAACTCCGGGAAAGGATCTGGAAAGAAAGATAAATTAATCAGTAATTATGGCATTATCATTAGATATATGGCACCTTTCAAAGCAAACACAGTAGTTAATATTCACACTGTTTCCAAAAACACTCTTGTCTCCAAGGTAACATGATATGCTGGTTAGGAGCCTTAAGAGTTCTCAATTCAAACATATGAGGAACTTTACCTAAGTATAAGTTAATTACTTGAGTTGGACTTTCACAAGGACAAGAGAGTATAGCAGTCTTTTAATGTTTTCACTAAGATTATCATTCAAGGTATTTCTTGATAAAATTCAAAAAGAGGTTAAGTTTTCAAAGTAGTAGTATTTCTCATCTAGGAACTCAAACAGAAGTTATTGTTAAAAATCTAAAACATAAATTGAAACACCACATGGATGATTCTCAATATAATTTTTCTGAGTAAAAGAAGTCAGACAAAAAAAGTACACACTATGATTCAACTTATATAAAATTCTAGTACAGGAAGAGTTATGCTAATCCGTAGTGACAGAAAACAGATCAGTGGTTGTCTGGGATGGGGACAGACAGTGGCGGGAAGGATTACCAAGGAGAAACTTTTGGGGGTGACAGATACATTAACCACTTAGTGGTCATGGTTTTACAAGTGTATGCATATGTTAAAACTTACCAAACTGTATACTGTAAACATGTGTCACATACACCTGAATAAAGGTGTTAAGAAGGCCACATAAAATTCACTATGCCAAATGTTGTAGTATCTGAGATAGTGATTGACTGACTTTGCAGAGAAACTGCCCATTTGAAAATTTAAAGACAGATACAAAGTAGTTTACAGTTAGAATTTGGAATCTGGAAAAGGTATGAGCACAATATTGTATATGACATTATAAAAGGCGTTCTTCAAGTAGGCAATGATGTGCGTGAATGGTCAGAAAAACTCCGTGCTGACATTTTTATGATCTATGCTTTTTCCACTATAGTTTTCTTTAAGAGTCATGCAGGCTTTATGTCCTTTGATAAAACACAACAAAAAATTCTTAATATACAAACAGCAGCACAAAACAAATGACGCCTCTCCTAGACAGGCTGAAGGCAGCAGTCATGAGGTGACTAAGCACATGGGTATCTCTCATGTTGAGGGTATTTCCCAGCTGCCAGACAGTGGTAGGCATTTAACATCTACATTCTAATCTTTAGGACGACCCTGACACGTAAATATTATCAGCTTTATTTTACAAATGAAGAAACTATAAATTGTTAGGTTGAGAAAAGGCATCCTCACAGGACTATCTTTTAAGAATATACTGATTTTTTTTTTTTTTTTTTTTTTTTGAGACCGGGTCTCACTCTGTTGCCTCGTCTGGAGTGCAGAGGGGTGATCACAGTTCACTGCAGCCTCAACCTACCAGGTTCAAGCGATCCTCTTGTCTTAGCTGCCACCACACCTGGCCTTTTTTTTTTTTTCCAGTGGAGACAAGATCTCACTATGTTGTGTTGTCCAGGCTGGTCTCAAACTCTCGAACTCAAGCGATCCTCTCGCCTCAGCCTCCCAAAGTGCTGGGATTAGACATGAGCCACTGTGCCCAAACAGAATTTACTGATTTTTAATGGGCTCTAGCCCCTAACAGTAGAATTTGAGGGTATGCTTTTAATAGCCACATTAATGGGATTTTCATTAATTGCATAATGAAAATATGCAAAAATTGGGTGAACATAAATAGCACACATTTTATGATGACATTTAGAGAAGGCTTGCTCATAAAGTTATTAAATATAATGGGATACATTCACACATCTACACCAAATCACTACAGTATTGTGACTTGTAAAGAGTTTATCTTGGAAACATAGCCAAGGTATTTGAGTTTTTGAAGTGGAAACTGGGCTTCATAGTGTGATTACGTCAACTGTAAGGTGGTTCTATGGCATGGAACCTATGTCCAGGAAGGTTACACTCTTATTTCTGAAAAAGGGTATTCTTTTTCATTTGTTATTCCAACAGAGTAGGCAGGGGACAGGTGTTGGAAAGGAAATACAAGAATACAAAAAAGGTTGGTCAAAATGGCTTTTAAAAGAAGGCTTAGATTTCACCAGCTCTAGACGACTGCTCTATGCCTGGCTTTAATTTAAACAGGCCTTGCATGGTTTGCTGATGATGAGCTGGCCAAAGATAAGCCTCACAAATCTGGAGTGTGACTTGATTTCTACGCTGTGAGGGAAGGCCCCACTTCTCTCACCAAGCTCTGTGCTGGCTGCTGCAGGCCCAGGAGAGCCCCTGGACAGCAGAAAGGAAAAAACAAGGAACAGCATTTGAATACAGTCGAAGCAGAGGACTGAACCTGACTGCAAGCCAGGCCCTAGGGTTCACCGCACGCCCACTGTGGTCAGCAGCCAGTGGGGCTCTCAGGCCAGGCAGTTCCCAGAGTTGCTGGTTGGACTGCTCAAGACACACAGGACCAATTTCTCACAGTTTGAATCATGAGTTAGAGTGTGACATTACAATGTGCTCTTCTATACTACTTACCAAGAAAAATTGGGATAGCAAAGGTTTTGGGAACTTGTGATATTAGAGGATGCCTTCCAGTATTTCAGTATCTTCAAAGTGCTAAATACTCACAACATCTATTCATCAATGCAATTAGTGAGGTAGGGAATAAAATGTATAAAAAGATATAGAAAATTCCATGGATATCGCTTTAAATTTTTTCTTTTTTAAGCCTTTCATTGCTAAGAGCATATATGCAGGCTTTTCATTCTCTAAAGGTGGTTATTATGGGATGACTGGGGAAAATAATATGTGTATATAAAAGTCATTCTACCTGCAAATTATATAAGAAATTTTCATTATCTAGGTAATAGTTGTTTAGAAAGAAAACAGAAGTTATTTCTCATTAGGGAGGAGTCTAATTGCCCCAAATATGGCCTGGGACCCTTTGGGGATCACTCCCTTTGAGGTGGGGCTCACCATCCTGTCTTATTCCAGCACCTAGCACAACATCTGCATGGGACAGGCCCAGTATTTGAATAAATAAATGAATTAATCCAAGGACAGTATATAAAGAGAAATCAGGAATCAGTAAGTTACAGACTTCAATTATGGCCAAAGAAGCAGTGCAAAGTAGAATCACTGCCCTCAAGCAGCTTACAAAGGGTTTGGGAAACAAAGCACCAGCAGGAAATCCCAGTAAGGAGCTGCAGCAGGCATAAGGTACAGCTGGAGGCTGCCTTGTTCCTAGGGCTGGCTCATTCTCCTGACAGTCAGACCAGTCCCAGGGTATTGAGTTACCAGTAAATAGGGAAATGGAAAGAGCAAAGAGAAGTTCAGAAGCTCCTTTACTATAATCTTTCAACTTACAAACCTTGAGGTTAAGAGCAATGCGCTCAGCATAAACAAAGCTGCCTGATGTTGATGGACGCACACACAGTGAGGAAGACTCATCTGGCGTCACTCTGGACACAGGGATGAGGGACTTACAGACAGCCCAAGGGCAACTCCCCACACGGACAGCAGCCTCTGCGGGACAACCAATACTTGGCTGCTGTAACCACCTTAACAGACCCCCAGCATCTAAGCCATGTCAAAGCATAACTGTCTAAAGCTAAAAGACATAACTCAGGCAAGTAGTAATAAGCAATGGCACGTAAGAGACAGGGAAGCTGGATCAGAGCACTAGAGGAGCTCAAGCTCACACAGTCCATTAGCAAAGGCACATTGGAATAAGCAAGGTAAGCTGGAGACAATAAAACCATAATCTTTGCACAGAAATAATTCGCATCTCGAATCTACAAACTAGCATATAACATCACAATGTTTGTACTCTAATGGAGAGTAAGCAGCAAAGCCAAACAGAGGTAAGTCTGTTAGAAAATTAAATAATCTTGGGTGAGTCTGAAACAACAGCCCAGTATGACAATACAAAACACAAAGTCTTCCTTTTTCTTGTTTTATTTCCAAGTACAAAGTAATTTTTCTTTCAATGGTAACTTCTGGCTGGGCCTGGGCCCAGGCTCTCCCAGTGATGTTCCCCCATGGCTTGTTGTGGAGTATCTGAGGTCTATTTTTTCTTCTCTCCTCTCCTCCCCCGCCTAAAAAGTGAAACTCATAGGGACCTCTTAAACACCAGTTGGGTGAGAACAGGGACCGAAAATCCCAAGAGATTAATATTTATCCCTTGCCAGCACACAGGATAGTATCTGCTGAAGGTTTATTATTTATGAATGCACAAACAACCAGGTGAATAAATAAGGGTGGGTGCCAGTTAAGTTGGTCTTGATGCTTCAGATGATCTCCATACAGGGGTCATTAAACTGCTGAGCTTTGCAAGAATTCCCAATCACCGATAAAGACTCTCATCTTGACCACACTTTTGCTAGGGCCTTGAGCCCTCCTCTCTACCAGGCCTCAATCTGGGGCTTGTAGCAAGAATCCTGTTAAGTCAGTTTAAAGAGAACCCACCTTTGATATCTGGCTACCTTGGCCTGCTTTCAGCAAGAATTTCCCTATCCCTGATGTCTTCCCTTAGAAATTTCCCATCCCCTCACCCCTTCACTCTGCTCCTTGGTTGTAAATCCCCAGCTGTCTTCACTGTATTCAGAGCTAAGCCAGATCTCTCTCCTTCACTGCAATAGTCTTGAGTAAAATCTTCCTACTGTTTGAACAAATGTTAGAATTTTAACATCGGCACCTCAAAGAAAGCCTATAGCTATTATGCACTTTAGAATTTCTAGGAATAGATGTCTAGACTCAGGGTGCCCTGGAGGATACCTCAGAACAGTCGGGCCACAACCACTGGTGCCAGCTGATGTCACAGGGGAAGTGGGAGAATAATGGGTAGAGTTTTGTTGATAAAACGAAAAGTTCCAGAATAAAATGCAACAGTCCAGATTCTAACTGCCACTTAGTAACAGTGAAATTGTGGTACAATTTTATTTATAATTGTATTATAAATTTGTTCATCAAACATGTTTATCAATTGCCTAAAGTTTAGTAAAATCAGCCCAATATGTCAAAATTCTTAAATTATCACAAATTTTAAAACAAAGACATAAATTTTAGGGAGGTTTTATTGTATTTATAATTTTTATAAGCTAGATTACTTTTTAATATTGGGAAATATATTAATTTGTAAAAAAATCTGATCAAAAAACGAACCATTTGCAGAAAATTCAGAGAAAACACAAGAAAAAATTTTTAAACATTTTACATATTTCAGCCTTTTTCTACTATTCACTGCTTCTAAAAATTGAGATTATACTTTTATAATCTGTTTGTGTCTAATTTGTTATAAATATATTCCCAACTCATGATGTCACTGTTCTCCTACAGTGTCATGTATAACAGATGTACAACGTGGACGTAAGTTCTTTAACTCTGCTGGAGAACACCTGGATTATTTCTGATATTGCACGCCATAACTAAGAATATGAAACGCATCCTTGTATATAAGTCTTAGACCTCTGATCATTTCCTTAGTATGTTAGGAAGCTGCTGAGTCACGGCATAGGCACATATTGGTAGTTTTTCTCCAAAAGCATTGCATCAAGAACAGACCCACTTGTAACTCATGAATATTCAGCTCTCTTCAACAATACCAGGTAATTTTATTTGAAAATAAATTTGGCTTACTCATTCAGCAAGCACCTTTATGTTAGACATTGGAGTAGTCACTGAGCTATGAACAAGACAGATGAGATCCCTGCCCTCCAGCAGACAACAGTCTCTTGGACACGAGTGTAGGACAGAGAAGGTAAGAGTGCTGGGGAATTTTCAGCAGGGAAAGCCAACCTAGTTTAGGGCTCTAAGACAAACCCTGAGGAGAGGGTACTCAAGGCAAGGCCTGAAGACAGGCAGGTGTGGCCAGAGGAAGGCATGAGCAACACGGAGGAAATCTTTTAAAGGTCTGCAAGGTATCTTTTTTCAAATTATTAGGTGCTCAAAACATCTGCTCTATTAAGTAGTTTAATCTAACTTGCAATTGTATTTATAAATTTGTTCATCAAGTGTAGAAATGGGGAAAAAAAACTCACCTTCAGTATGTCTAGAACCTATTTTAAGGGAAGATGAAGAGATGAGATACTGCTGGAGGAGTTGGGGCCAGATGAATGAAAGGCCTGGCAAACCATGCTAAAATGTCTACGCTTCACCCAAAGGGAAACAAGATGTCACTAAGGACTCAAGCAAGTGCATTTCAGAAACACTGCTCTGCGTATGTTCTGGGGATGGGTGGAGGCAGACAAGACTGGAGTCAGATGGTCCATCGTGAACCAGGTGCTATGGCTGTTCAGCATCCACTCTCCCTCCCTATTCTGGGAGAATCCCAAGGCTAGAGGGATGCAGGGCCACTTCCTATCACAGAAGAAAAAGAAGGGCAGAGAGACCCTCTTCTATCCCCCCAGAAATACACTAAGAACATGAGATCTAAACTCAACCAAATTCCCACATTCACTCATAAATACTCATTCAGGATTTACTGTGCTCCAAGGCCTATGTTAGGAGCTGTGGATACAGCAATGAATAAGACAAGATCCCCAGCTAAGACCATGAACCCTGAGGAAGGAGGCAAACAAAGACTCGGAGTCCTCTGAGAAGCAGAGAGCTTTGGTTGGGGGCTGTAACACATATATCAAAATGTACTCAATTGTCTAAGTGTGTGCAGTCTACTCCAAAAGTCCCATGGCAGCCCCTCTAGTCCCACTGGCCCAGATTAGAGCACATTATCAGTTTTGTGCAGCCTCTTAAGTCAAAGACACATTCTAGCAGCAAAGAAGAAGGCAGGAGTCACTTTGGGGAGGCAGCAAACTTTGTGTCAGGTGAAATCACCTGCCTGAAGCCACAAGCAGTAATTAACAAGGAGGGCAGGATTTGAATCCATCTGACTCCAGATCCCAGCTGCCTTTCACTAGGCCACAACCCTCACTTAGCACTGCTGTAGATTAGTGATCTGGTCATTGCTGTGTGCTGCCAGTGGGGCAAGGGCCTCACCACAGAGCCACCCTGTGGGATGTTTCCTTACCCAAGATCTCTCCTTCCTACATTATTCCCAGTCACCAGCCTATCGGTGGGCTCTGAGAGGAGGATCAGGAATAAAAGAGACTCTCTGGCTTTTCCCAGCAACCCAGAACTCTGGTGCCCTTGGCCTTTCCTACCCACACTGTGCTCTACAAAACCCCTTAGAGGCTGATGCAGCATAAACAACTTACTCACAAGACACTTATTTAGGCTTTTATTATCATCTACGGACTACCTTTCTAATCAGTTCTAACAATTAGCTCCTAAACCCATAGTAGAGAAAAATATAGAAACTTTGGGCAGGAAAACTGACAGCAGTTAGAAGTGCTAACAGCTGACCCAAGGAAACAATAGGACAGAAAACTTTAAAAACTGGAAAGATGCAAAAACCCCCAAAGGAAATAGCTGTATATGCCTCAATAAGCCTAACATTACTATTCACATCACAACATAACATTATATCTAAATGGTCACTTGAGAGCATTGAGGAAAGTTTACATCACATTCAGCACATTCTATTTAAGAACACAAGAAATAATATACTTTAGGAAGATTCCCAACCTAAATGGGATATTTTGGTGCTTAATGGGCAAAAACCTAATCTAGCCAGAAAACTCCTCTGCTATTCAGAAAGTTAATATGCTCTTATCATAGTTAGCCATGGTTTTACTGTAAATGACTTTATAATAATTTGCACAAATCCAAATTAAATTAATTCTTTGGACTAAAGTCCTAATAGGAACAGTATTAACACTGCCCACTTTTATAGAACCTAGTGTGTAGATATATACGGATGTGCACAGATAGGTATTAATATATGGAAACACCAAAAGATATAATTTGGTCCATCTTATATTAAATGTTCTATAATAAGAACTGATAAAATAGATTCCTCTTTATTAATATTTGTTTATAAGCAAAACAGTACTCAGGAGCTGGCTTTTTTGGCTAAGGGAGGCCCTGATTTACTGTACAGCTGAAGACAAATCATTTAACCTCTTTGTACATCACTGATGTCCTTATTTGCAAAAATAAGATAATTATTTACTTCTCATATTAGGGAAATTTAAAACTACTACTAAAAAATTCCTTAGAAATACCTATCTTTGCATAAATAATTTAAACTTTAAACATGTTTTAAATCTGAAGATTTTCCAACAGAACACAAATTACAATTATTTATACTCATTATCAAGTTCTATAAAAATAACTGGTGGCATTTTCAAAGTAATAAATCAAAAGTCACAATAAATTCCTGTGTGAATTTACACAGTGTATAACCCTAGTTTCCATGGAGTTAAGAGTTGCTTTTATGATTTCCATTAAGCGGACTATCCTTCTTAACATCAACCTTTTCTTAAAGGGAGTGGCAACTCAGCAGTGAAATAAATCTAACAATACAGGCATTTAAGCTTGCAACAAAGAAGTTACAAAGATCCTGTCCAACATGCTGAGTTACTAAGCTCTGACATCTCCCTCCTGACACTAGAGCTAAATAAAGTCAGGTTATGGCAGGAACTTGATCAGTTCCATTCATTCACATTTTGTTTCTCCAGGCCTAAATAAAAAGCACACACCAGAAGAGGAAGAAGTAGGAGGTAGGGAAGGGAAGGTGTCTGAAGGACAAAAATGCAAATCTCAAGGCTGGATATGACAAATAGCCAGTTTTGCAGGGATCTAAGCTGTGAAAGACTTGAAACATACCATTTGGAAACCCTCTTTTCAAAAAAGAATACAAATTATAAACACAAGATCTCTGAGGTCCCAGAGCCTAGGTAAGGGCCCATGCAAGTGACAGACCTAGAAACCTGAACTTCATTAGCTTTACAGTAAATCTGCCCCATAAATGGTATCCAGATTCAGGTTCCAGGATGGGGTAAAATCTCAGAATGCTAAAAACTACGTTACCCCAGATGTCACCTACTGTAGTTTTCTCAGTGGGCCACAGGTGATCAGAGATTTCAGTATGTCTGGAAGATTAGGTGGTTAGAAACCAAACAAAAAAACTGGAAGGTCAAGGTAGTCACAAAATGGGGTGTGTGTGGGGGTGTGCGTGTGTATGAAGATGAGCAGTGAAGACCCCGACCCAGCTATGGTGTTGGTGCTTTTCAAGAATACAACTGGTAAGAAGGCTCAATTAGAGTTCCAAAACAAAAGGAATGGCAAAGTCAGGGGAAACACTCACTAATGATGGAGCTGGGAGATGGCAGAAATGGGATGAAGAAGGTATCAGAACACAGAGTGTGAAGGCTGTAGTGGTGGCAGAGGGTGGCTCCTAACAGCAAAGTCCAAAGATGGGCAGGTCAAAGAGCCTATGTGAAGGGGAGGCCAGAGAAAGGTCAAAAACAAAAGCATGACACTAGACACGGAGGAACTTGGGAGTACAGCTGCGGATAAGATGCTCTCACATACTCAGGAGATGGTGGTTAGGACCCTGCTGCTCCAGATATGGTCCCCATTCTGGGCTTTTCCCTCTCGGCACTTCTCTATTCAAGGGCTCAAGCCATCAGAAAGACTACCCTCTCACTTCTTTACCTCCAGGTTCTCTCCACTACCATTTCGGGGTTTCCAGTCCCTGAACGACGACAAAAGCCTTTTTGTCTGTCTGCAGTCACCCTCATCCCCACCCCTATATCTGCCAGACTGAATCTCTTTAACGCTAAGATCTGATCACATCACTTCCTTGCCCCACATTCTCTTTAGCTTCCTTCCTGCCATTCCCCATCCCTAACCAACATTTCTTGTCTCACAAATGCTCAACTCCTAGTTCCCCAAATATGTCAAGACTCTGAAACCTTCATGTCTTAAACATTTATGTTCTTACTGCCAGGAATAGGCTCTCAACTCTCGTTCATCTCCCAACTCCTACTTAAAACTCTGCTCAAATCCAACCTTTATGGAAATTTCCTGGACCCTCCTGGGCAAATCACCCTCGAGGGACCCTTTTCTTTCTACATTGTGGGATCTGCTTGACGCTCAGTGTTATCCCACGGGTCTGCAAACTCCTTGCTGGCAGGGAACCCTGTCTTTCTGTCTGTCTTTCCCCCAAGAGCTGGGGCCCTGATTCAGGGATAGCCCACAGATGATGGGAGAAAAGTGAAGAGATCAGAGGATGCCTCTCTCTTCTAGAGACGACCAGAAAAGTCGTGCAGCTACGAAGGATAACAGCTCTGACCCAAAAATGACATATAGGAGCCAAACACACATCTTAAGGGAGGGAGTAGGGGTCAGAGGTGACCTCAAGATGGGGCAGGCAAGGCGACGGTCGCGAGGTCGGGGAGCACGCAATGACGCGGACCAGGGCTCGGCAGGAGGGTTCTGCGCAGGGACAGGGATGACGACGGGCTCGGCAGCGGGGACGCGAGGATCCCATGATGTCGCAGCCGCGGTGACAAGGACAGAGGCACGGCCAGGAAGGCATCGGGACCGGGCAGAAGCCGAGGGGCTGACGCGCGCGAGGGTCGGACGCGGGTAACGGACGGTCACGCAGGCCGGGAGCGGCCCGGAAGACCCGCGGGTGCCCTCGGGCCCGGCCCTACCTAGAGATGCGCCAACACCAGCCGCAGACGCGCCCGCTGCACCCTAGGCCCAGCCGCCTCAGCCACCGCCACAGCCGCCTCGTTCACTTCCGCTTCCGCTCAAGGCGCTTCCGCTCGGGACTTGGCCGGGTTCGCAGAGGCGGGGTCTGCGTGACCGTTGCGAGAGTGAGGAGCGCCCGCGTCGTGGGTTGGGCGGGGAGAGAGGCGCGCAGGCGCGGACAGCGGACGCGGCGCGCAGGCGCCGGCGGCGTGGGACGCCGCGGCCTGTTGCCACAGCAACTGCTCTGGTGCTGGCGGACCTCGGGTCGCGCAGTCAGGTAGCTGCCCGCTGGCGTCGGGCGGGTGCCGCCCTTGAACCTCTTTGTTCATACACTGTCCTGCGGCCCGGACGGTGTCTTGACGCTGCATGCCGGTCTTTGTCCTGCCGGAGGCACTGAGGACTGGCGGCTCCCGGGGCCTCAGGCCGAAGTTGTGCGAGCGCGGCCCAGGCGGGTGGCCCTGAGGCCGGGAGCCTCGCCTGGGCCGGAAACGGGGACAGCGGGGGGCTCCTGCACAGGGGACCCGCCGCGCGCTTCCCCGCCACGTTTGGGGAGGGAGCGGGGACGTCCTGGCGTTCGACCCTCGCCTCCGTATCGGGACGGCGCGGCCCCAGTCAGCGCTGAGCACTTCTCGGCCGGGTGTTCTGACCGTCACCATTGTTGCTCTGGACTACTCTTCAGCTGAAAGTTGTTTCAGGCAGGTTTGCTAGTCCGGAATTGGGTGGGAGAGAATTCCAAGGAGAGAGAGGAAAGGCAGAGGCAATGGCAGTGAGGGAGCAGGATGCTTCAGAGGAATTCCAGTGGCTGCTGTGGATACATGGTGGCGGGGACAGGGGAACAGGTGCCACCTGATCGTGCAGGTCCCTGTCGTCATATTCAGGAGTTTGGACTCTGCAGTCCACAATCTCAGTCTTATTTCTGCAGCTGCTCTAAGATGGCGAAACTCACCTTCAGGACATGCTCCCTTGGGCTAGGAGATCAGGTGGGCTCCGGGTGATGCGCAAGTCCACCCCTCTAGCTGCAGTTCCGCCTTTTTCTCTACAACCAAGCAAACATTTTGGCAGGCACGTGTGAGTGACGACCTTGAAACCAATCTGATTTATTTTTCTGAAAAGTAAGTTATTGACAAATGTCAATTTTTAATATCAACTTATTTAGGATGTATCTCCAAACCTATCCTTACACACAGTATGTCTCAGCAAGGCAGCTATAAGCCCTGGTGAGCTAATGAGTCTTCCATCAGGAAAGTAAAATGGTCAAATATTGTTCTAGGAAAAACATTCTATTGATTTTCTTCAGAATCTCTAGCAAAGCACTTGATCAGGTACTCAGAAAACATTACCAAATTGAAGTGGCACCACGTATGCATTAAAGGATTTGGGAAGGAATCTCGATTCAGCATACAAGGCTTACGTTTCCTGATGGGCTTTTCTTTAAGTAAAATCAACAAATGGTGTTCAGCACCTATTGCTGATTAGTGCTGTGGGGTGACACCAAGCAGTATGTGAAATGACCTCTAGTCTTAAGGAGTGCTCATCGTGGTTGGGGACATAAACTAACATACTTTAAATACTAGGCAACAAGTGAAACATATTGTAAGGAGTAAGGGTTGTAATGTTTCTGTCCCCCGCCCCCCCCAAGTTCATAGGTTGAAATTAATCCCAGCGTGATGGTCTTTGGAGGTGGGGCCTTTGGGAAGTGAATAAATCATGAGGGTGGAGCCTCATGAATGGGAATAGTGCCATAACGAGGCCAGAGAGCTCTCTTGCCCACTTTCCACCGTGTGAGGATACAGTGAGAAGATGGCCTGCAACCCAGAAGAGAGGCCTCACCAGAACCTAACCATGCTGGTGCCTGATCTGAGACCTCAGCGCCTCCAGAGCTATGAGAAATGAATTTCTAAACCCAGTCTATGGTACTTTGCTGTAGCAGTCTGAACAGTCTAAGACAGGGATGAAAAAGCTTCAAGGAGCAAGTTTGTGAACTGAGCCTGGAAGGAGGAGTAGGATCTGACAAAGGGTTAGAAGAGGAAGGACTCCAAGCAGAAGGAGCAAACCTAGGAAAGAGACTGAGGGAAAAATTCAGGAGACCAAACTCTCATGCGCAGGAGGTTCATGCTGAGGGGAGCAGGAAGCAGAGCTGGACTGGGGAGGCCTTGAAGGCAGGCAGAGCAAGGAGCCCCACCAGGTGACTGCTCATTGGCCTCCCAGATGGATTCGATGGTATCGCTCAGATGATGGAACAAAAAAGAAAAAGAGAAAACACAAATGTGACATGTGAAAAATAGGAATGAAAGAGAAAGATAAAAGAGAAGGAAAATCTTCCCAGGTCTAGAAGATACATTCTCGTATCGAAAGGGCCCAGCAGGTGCCCAGCACAACAAACCTAGGAAGACCAACACCAAGGCACATCGCCACAGCATTCAGAACACCAAGGATAAAGAAAAGATCTTCAGAGTTTCCTGAAGGAAAAATGAAAAGGTCACATTTAAAGGACTGGAAATCAGAATGGCATGGAAATTCTCCACAGAATCCCAGGAAGCTGGAATACAATAGGGCATTAACTTCAAAATTCTGAAGAAAATAATTCTAACATAGAATTCAACTCTCACTATATTAGCTGTTTGTGGGTAGGATGTAGATATTTTCAGATATCCTTATCTCAGAAAGCTACTGGAGGATATTCTTCTCCAAAATTAAGAAATTAGCCAAGAAAGAGGATAATATTTGGGACCTAAAAAACAGGAAGTCCCAGCTTAGGAGAGAGGAGAAGGGAAGTACTAGGACAGAAGCTAGGACTTATACAGTAGGGGATAGAGGCCTCTAGGAGAGATGTTTCCAGAAGGAAGTGAATCACATGGAATGCCTGTTATGGATGAATATCTTAAAAGGGATCTTCAGAATTTGATGATGATAAGTAATAGCTAGATAGGAAAGTGAATAAGGAAATAAATGAGGCCATTATTGAATCTAGTGAAAACAATATGCAAAAAAGGATATAGCATATGTCTTGGCTGTGAATAAATATGTAATTATAACAAGATAATTGCTGAATGGGAGTTTAACCCAAAGGGGTGTTATAATTATTTTTGAAAAAAGGGAGGTGACCTTACGTGTGTTTACATAAATGTGCATGTGTCTAGGAAGTGAGGGTGGGAGAGTTAAATCCTTGTCTTCTAGAGTTAGGAAGTCCATAGACTATACGCACAATTGAAAAGTAAGGACAGAACATTAAATATGTGTTCTTAGAAAATATGAGCATAAGGCCGGGCACATTGGCTCATGCCTGTAATGCCAGCACTTTGGGGGGCCAAGGTAAGAGGACTCTGTGAGCCCAGGAGTTGGAGACCAGCCTGGGCAACATAGTGAGACCTCATCTCTACAAAACATTTTTAAAAATTGGCCAGGCATGGTGGCATGCACCTGTAGTCCCAGCTACTTAGGAGGCTGAGGTGGGAGGATCATATGAGCCCCAGAGTTTCAGTCTGCAGTGAGCTGGGATTGTGCCACCACACTCCAGCCTGGGTGACAGAGTAGGACGCTGTCTCACACACAAAAAAAGGAAAAGAAAGTAGAGTAAATTCTCTCATATACAAAAGAAATATATAAGAGATAAATGTAAGAGAAGGAATTGGGAGTGGGAGTGTGTGGTGTGGGCAACTACTATTTTTGTTAACAAATCTAGAAATACCATTTGAATTTTAAGATTATAAATATTTGATATAAGGAAAAATTTTTAAGTTTTAAAAAGTTATTCACTAATACAAGTGGTAGTAAGTGGCACGACTGTCACTCAAATTCCAATCTGTCTAAATCTTGAAGCTTTAAAAAATTGTTATGACTACAGTACACTACAGCAAAGGGAAGGAAAAGTCAAATATTACTTCAAGGTCTCTTTCCTGGGAGACTACAAGAAAAGTTGCATGCAGAAATCAGTGTAACAAGAGCAAGAAGAGTTACGTAGGATTATCCACATCCTGCTTCACCTCCTGCTTCATAGCTCAGGCAAGCACTTCCCTGTGCTCTGCTGTGCACAGCCAGTTTATCAGTGTGGGAAAAAATCTATAAATAGGATGGAGGTTTACATAAAAGAGAAACATAGGAAAAGAAAGGGGAATAAAAAAGAAACTGTAGAGCGAATTTGGGGGTTAATGCAGAGGAAAAAGCTAAAGTGAGAGACATCACATCAGCTGTGAGAGAGAAACCCAGAAAATGAATGGCAGGGGCATCTGGGACAGGTTTCTCTTGGTAACAAGTTGACCCTTTAAATAGACTGCAAGATGTATTTGCAGTTTTTATTTGGATGCTGAATGAAATTTCTTTTGAGTATAACAACCACATGAGCTCAAGATTTTATTTGGGCAATGATATGGTTTGGCTGTGTCCCCACCCAAATCTCATCTTGAACTGTAGTTCCTATAATCTCCACATGTCATGGGAAGGACCTGGTGGGAGGTAATTGAATCATGGGGGCGGTTACCTCCATGCTGTTCTCTTGATAGTGATTGAGTTCTCATGAGACCTGATGGTTTTATAAGGGGCTTTTCCCCTGCGTCACTCCACATTTCTCCTTGCTGCTGCCAGGTGAAGAAGGACTTGTTTGCTTCCCCTTCCAACACGATTGTAAGTTTCCTGAGGCCTCCCTAACCATGCTGAACTGTGAGTCAATTAAACCTCTTTCCTTTATAAATCACCCAGTCTCAGGTATGTCTTTATTAGCAGTGTGAGAATGGACTAATACAGCAAATTGGTACCAGGTAGTGAGGTGCTGTTGTAAAGATACCCAAAAATGTGGAAGTGACTTTGGAATGGGGTAACAGGCAGAGGTTGGAACAGTTGGGAGGGCTCAGTAGAAGATAGGAAAATGTGGGAAAGTTTGAAACCTCCTAGAGACTTGGAGGGCTCAGAAGATAGGAACAGGTGGGAAAGTTTAGAGCTTCTTAGAGACTTGTTGAATGGCTTTGACCAAAATGCTGTTAGTGATATGGACAATGAAGTCCAGGCTGAGATGGTCTTAGATGGAGATGAGGAAGTTGTTGGGAACTGGAGTAAAGGTCACTCTTGCTATGCTTTAGCAAAGAGAATGGCAACATTTTGCCCTTGCCTTAGAGATCTGTGGAACTTTGCACTTGAGAGAGATGATTTAGGGTATCTGGTGGAAGAAATTTCTAGACAGCAAAGCATTCAAGAGGAAGCAGAGCATAAAAGTTTGAAAAATTTGCAGGCTGGCAATGCAATAGATTAAAAAAACCCATTTTCTGGGGGAGAAATTCAAGTTGGCAACAAATTTGCATAAGCAATGAGAAGAAGAATGTTAATCACTAAAACAGTGGGGAAAATGTCTCCAGGGTATGTTAGAGACCTTCATGGCAGCCCCTCCCATTACAGGCCTAGAGGCCTAGGAGGGAAAAATGGTTTCTTGGGCAAGGCCCAGGCCCCCCCTTTCTGTGTGCAGCCTAGGGACTTGGTGCCCTGCATCCCAGCTGCTCTAGACATGGCTAAAATGTGCCAATGTACAGATCAGGCTGTGGCTTCAGAGGGTGCAAGTGCCAAGCCTTGGCAGATTCCATGTGGTATTGGTCCTGCTGGTGCGCCAAAGACAAGAACAGAGGTTTGGGAACCTCCACCTAGATTTCAGAGGATGTATGGAAATGCCTGGATGTCCAGGCAGAGGTCTGCTGCAGGGGCAAAGCCCTCATGGAGAAGCTCTGCTAGGGCAGTGCAGAAAGGAAATGTGGGGTCATATCCCCCACACAGAATCCCCACTGGCACACCACCTAATGGAGCTGTGAGAAAAGGGCCACCATTGTCCAGACCCTAGAATGGTAGATCCACCAACAGCTTGCAAAGTGCACCTGGAAAAGCTGCAGACGCTCTATGCCAGCCCATGAAGGCAGCCAGGAGGGGGGGGTTTACCCTGCAATGCCACAGAGGTAGAGCTACCCAAGGCTGTGGGAGCCCACCTCTCGCATCAGTGTGACATGGATGTGAAACATGGAGTCAAAGGGGATCATTTTAGAACTTTAAGGTTTAATGACTGCCCTATTGGATTTTGGACTTGCATGGGGCCTGTGGTCCCTTTGTTTTGGCCAGTGTCTCCTATTTGGAACGGGTGTATTTGCCCAATGCCTGTGCCCCAGTTGTATCTAGGAAGTAACTAACTTGCTTGTGATTTTGCAGGCTTATAGGTGGAAGAGACTTGTCTTGTTTCAGACACTTTGGACTTGGACTTTTGAGCTAATGCTGGAATGAGTTAAGACTTTGGGGGACCGTTGGGCAGGTATGATTGTGTTTTGAAATGTGAGGACATGAGATTTGGGAGGGACCAGGAGTGGAATTATATGGTTTTGCTGTATCCCCATCCAAATCTCATCTTGAACTGTAGTTCCCATAATCCCCACATGTCGTGGGAGGAAGTTTCTGGGAGGTTAATTGAATCATGGGGGCAGATACCCTCATGCTGTTTTGGTGATAGTGAGTGAGTTCTCATGAGACCTGATGGTTTTATAAGGGGCTTTTCCCGTCCTTTGCTCTGCACTTCTCTTTGCTGCTGCCATGTGAAGAAGGATGTGTTTGCTTCCCCTTCTGCCATGATTGTAAGGTTTCCTGAGGCCTCCCCAGCCATGCTGACCTGTGAGTCAATTAAACCTCTTCCCTTTATAAATTACCCAGTCTCAAGTATGTCTTTATTAGCAGCATGAGAACAGACTAATACAGGTAACAATTGACCGTCCAAAAATTAGGAAAGACAAAAAGCCAAAACCATGAAAACATACTGATTTCTACATAGAGAATGCACATTAAATGCTGCTGAAGTGTTTTATTGCTGATAAAAGGTATCATGTAGAAAGACAATGTTCCTCTTCTTATGATCATTGTAATGGTGAAGATGTCTGGTACTGCTGCAGACATCATGCAGTCAGGAAATGGAGTGACTGACAGGGCATGGATGTCAGAGCAGAAAGAAGGAGAGCACTTGGGCCTTGACGTGGCAGAGCCACTACATCAACCAGCACTCAAACCACCTTCTTTCCTGATTATAAGAGAGAGAATCTTCTTTATACATAGTCAGATAGTGAATCAGGATGTTCTGTTACAACCAAAAGTGTCCTGTTCTAGCTTCCATCCAAGAAGGAATAATTCCTACAGAACTGGTCCTCCCACTTTAAATAACTAAAAAACTGGACAAAAATACAAAATTACTATTTTCAGACAACAGACAACAGGAAGTAAAGGATGGAGAATCTTGAAAGGAGGAAAACAAATGAGGTGAGCCTAGTGGCTGCCCCATCTCTGCCTAGAGCAGGGAAAAATCAATGACACAAAAGACTGGTTCTTTGATAAGACTGATACAACTGATAAGCCTATAATACTCTGATCATAATCTCTCAAGAAGAGAGAAGACACACATTGCGCATCCCAGCAATGGAAGACAGTGTCACTACAGAAACCACCTGCAGTTAAGGAATAAAAGAACATTTGAACAACTTTAGATAAGAAATTCCTTGAACCATGCAAATCACCAAACCTGAACAAAGAAGAAGTAGAAATGATGAGTAAGCCTATATTAATTGAAGAAGTTGAATTAAGTAAACAAAACAAAACAACAACAATAAAAAAAACCTTCCCACAAAGAAAAGGCCAGGTGCTAATAGCCTCACTAGTGAATTCTATCAAACTTTTAAGGAGGAAATAGCAATCCTACACAAACTTTCAGAAAATGGAAAAGCAAGAAAGTCTTCCCCAACTCATTTTATAATTCACCTGGTGGCAGAGACAGGTCCAGTTCCACTTTGGGTCCTCAGCCCCTGTGATGAGTCAGGAGTGAACAAGCCAGTGAGGAAATGAAGTGGCCTTCTACTTCCTGCATGTCTTGCCCTAGCCCACCAGCTCTAAGTCAGTGTGGGTTCCCCTCTGCCTGGAGAGTGGTTGGCTCCTTGGTGCCCAGATGCCTGAGCTCTAGCCACTGAGAAATGAGTGACAGCTGGCAGGTGGTGGTACTTTCTAACACAATCAGTGCCTGGGACCTTCGCAACCTGCAAGCAGCCTCACATCTTGCCTCAATCAGCTTATTAACAGGAATAAGAACAGTCTCAATAGTAGAAAAGCAAATCATAGTTTGTGATGGTTCCTAAAAAAAATTCAGACTCACCAACTAGGCTACTACTGATCCCCCAATGAATAAATTTTGAAGGCATTGTATGATCATGAGTTATTAGTGATGATGACCGACAAATATGCCACTCCAGTTCCCATTTTACTAAAAGGAACAAAAAAAAAAAAAAAAGAAAATATTGCATCTTGAAAACAAATCTTGATGGTGATCCAGAACTATCCCTGTTCTGTTTCCTCATTGGAAGTGGTGGAGAGAGGGAATAGGAATTACAATGACAAGAATGAAGGAAACTGTTGAAAGCAAGGAATGCAACAATAGAAACTAACATTCTGAGATTAGGAAATATGTTGATTTGAAAGTGAGAAAATACTTGCCTAAATTTTGTTCCTTCTTTTTTTTCCCCTCTGATACTTGGATACTTGGGCTGTTTATTGGGGTCCCTTTCTCTCCAGCCCATTTATTGGAGCAGGGCTTTGCAAAGCCGGTCTCCTAGCAGCCAAATGCAGAAGGCCCATTCATATTACAATGGAAGGAAAGGAAAGAAAGAGCTTGGTTTGTTTAAACTGCCTCTGTCTTCATTCACAGCCTGATGTCCATGTGCATTGTGAGTCCACAATGGCACTAAAGGACTCATTGTGGCCGAAAACAAATCAAAATAAAATAAGGGATGCTAAGATAAAAGAGTCATGCAACAAAATTGCTTAAAAAATCTAAGTCTTACATCTGAGATTTATGTTACCTTTTGGCTGTGTGGCCTATTGACCGGTATTTATAACAACCGCTAGAGTTTAATAAACAAAAAGATAAATGGGAACTTTATGTACATTTTTAAAGGCCTTACACAGAAGGGGTGGGTGTGCTGGGTTGCTTGGGAAGCTGTTTAATAATTATTGTTCTTTGTTTGCACAACATTTGGGGAGCCACACTCCGCACTTTGTGTTTATTTTCCGTCTGATAAACATACCCTCCCTATGCCCATGTGGGCCAACAGCTCCCCAGCACGGGCCCCCAACCTCCACCCAGCCTGAACCAACATTAGAGGTTGCAATAACCCACGCCCAGTGCAGCCGGCAACAGGTGGAAAGTTGAATAACTTCACACGTTTTTCGGGGGGAGGGGCGGGGTGGGCTGGAGGGAAGGCTTTGGGAGCCGATTTAAGGATTAGATCAGATGTTATTGCTAGTGAAAAATTAAACAGCCCGGTGCTCTGGGGAGTACAGATTAATATATTTAGTGACTCTGTGCACACAAAGGCCGCTCATTGTGGCCACGTCTGAATGCCTGTGAATGGGATGGAACGCACGCAGCCGGTCACCGCAGGTGCCCACATCTGTTCTCCCCGGCAGATGCTCACAGAAAGGGAGGCGGGGGCGGCGGGGAAGCACGGCGCGTTCGAAAGCTTCCACGGCCGCGCTCTCCGGGACTCCTCTGGAGCAGCCTGGGGGGACGCGGGGTCCCGTGGGGACATTCGTGAAAGGGCGTGGAGGAAACCCTGAGCCGCACACGCCCACGGCCAACCAACCCTGCAGCCAGACAGGCCCAGGGGCCACTCCAGAGGCTGTGTCAGGCCCTGCGGGTGCGCGCCACGTTTCTGAGTTTATTGTTTGCGAGCCTCTGAGCTCTGGGCCTTGAAGCCCCCCGCGTGCCCCCGCTCCCGGCAAGCTGAGCCCAGCGTGGGTGATTGACAGGCCGCCCTGGGAACCAGGAGCGACAGGTGCCGCGACCTCCCTGTGGTGGGCACGGCCCGTCCGCCCATCGCCCCTCTCAGCGCCTTTTCTTCCCCATTCACTTTTTTACAAAGTCACAGGCTGCGATTTCCAGGTGCGACGCCTCGACCCCCCGGATGCAGCCGGAAAGGAGCCGCCGCGCGGAGGCGGAGGGTGGCGGCCGCAGGGGGCCCGTACCGAGGGGCCTGGGCCGGAGACCCCCACCCCGCGCGGGCTCCTGCAGCACCTCCTGGCGTCGGGATCCGGGGTCTCGGCGGGCCGCGCTCCTCTGGGAACGCGCGGTTTCCGCTAAGAGCGCACAAAGGGCGCGCCCCGGCCCCGCCCGCCGACCCCGGCCCCCAGGGCTCCGAGGTGTGCGCCGTCGCCTCGCACAGCCCGGGGCCGGGCCGGCTGCACCCGGTGAGGTGGGAATGCGGGCACGAGTCCCGCACGAGGCGGCGGCCGGGCGCGAGGCTGCGTGGGGCCGTCACGACGGCGACTGGGGTCCACCGGGAGGGCCCTGGCGCCGCCCTCCGCCCTCGCAGTGGCCCAGGGATGACCCGCCGCACGGCCGCGCCGCCTGTGCCCTCGCGCTTTGGGCCTTGCACTGGTGCCCCTCGTAATGCTGCCTGGCGCCGCCACCACCTCCAGGAAGCCCTCAGGTGCGCTCACTCCCCGTCGCGGATCTCAGCGTCCGGCAATCATCGCACTGAAAACAGCCCCTCCCTGGGACACGCGGCCTCCTTCTAACCCCCCAACACCCGGCCCCCCAGCCCCGGGTCCCGGCGCGTTCAGTCGGCACAAAGTTCGGAGGGGCAGCTCCGGGGTTCGCACGGGGCGGGCCCGCAGCAGCTGCTGCGGTAATCTGATCCCGGGACAAAGGCGTGCCCGCCGGTGCTCCGGCCGCAGGTAAACACGCGCTTTGTCATGGAGATGGGGCGCGGGACAGCCCCAGCAGATGATCCGCGGGTTCCAGGGGAAGGAGCCGCGGCGCAGAGGAGGGGGCGGGGGCCCGCTGCCGAGCCGTCATCTGCGCCGGGGCCGCCAGCTGAGCCACGCGACCCGCCCGTTCTCATGCAAATCAGCACATGCCTCCGCTGCTCGCAGCGGGCCTGGCCTCGGCCCCGGGCTCCACGCACGCGAGAGGTGGGCGTCTCGCGGGCCCGTGGCGCGGTTCGGACTCCCCCCACCGCAAAACGACCCCCCGACACGAACCAGGTGGGGTTGGAGCCCGTCTTCCTGTTCTCTGCACGGCCGCGGATCCTGAGAAAGGAAAAGGGCGTGTGGCGCCGGGACCCGGCCGCACCGGGGAAGTCACTCGCCGGGTCTCCAGCGGCGCAGCCGCGGCCAGCGGGGAGGCTTAGGAGCCGCTGCGGGGCTGATTCCTTCGCCCCCGGCTGCTGTTCTTGTGCCCCCACCGTCGCCCACCTTCGCGCAGAGCTGCCCGCGCCGGGGGTCGCGCTCCTGCCCGCTGTGGAAGCGCGGCTGCCTGGGGGCCGCGCGCCTTGTGTGCACGCGGGCGGCGCTCACCTCCTTCCTGCCTGCGCCAGCGCTGGTGGAGCCTCGAGGTCCAAACATAAACCAGATCGATGCCCCCTCCCTTTTCCAGGCTGTGACGAACGATGGCTTCGTGGGCTTGTAAGTCCACGCGCGGCAACCGAGTGTGAACACATCTGTGCACCCACTTGGGTGGGCGTGGCTGGGCAGGGGACATGGCCCAGTGAGTGTGTGTGTTGGGGGGTAAGGTCTATGTTCACGTGTCCAAAGACAGCTTTAAGAAGTAAGCAGCAAGGAAGTAACCATGATAGCTCCAGGACACAGAGGCTTCGCCACGGACGCCTCTGAGAACTTCCCGTGTGGCAGCCAGCAGGTCCATTCCTCTGCTACGTTAACTGCTTTCAGATTCCAAAACTGACGGAAGGAGAATGGGCAGAGGGTGGTTGGTGCAGATGTGATACCAATACTAATTAATAAGCATGGTCTACGTCCCCTTCTTCTTCTTCTTTATTTCAAGTAAGCTGGCATGTTTGATCAACACCAGATTTGCTGCCTGGAAGTTTTTTATCTTGTTATTCTGAACAAGGACCCTAATTCTTCTTACGAATAAGAGAACCTCTCTGTTGGGTATACAGTATTCAGTTGGTCTGAGAAAACACAAACCCCACTCAAGTCTCCAGACTTGTTTACACAGAAAACTGAACCTGTGGCTGGCCTAGAGTCTGAGCCTATTCTGGGCATTGTTTATTGCAATCTGCCCAGGCCCTCCTGCCCCCACCACAGTCACCACCACACACGAACCTGGAGAATAGAACCTTTCTTTGGAAAGGGGGGTTGGAATAGGATTGAGTGACCATGGTATTAGGTCATGCACACACTGCTGAGGATGGCCGCACTGGAATTTGATAAGATGATGGCCATAAGCTTTTATTCCCAGGTGGCCTCATAAAATGGTGGGGAGATACTCAGTGTCTCCAGCAAACAGAGAACTCCACATGTGGTTGCTGTGGCTGCAGCTCTGATCATTATACAGCCTGAGCTTACCCTAGACACTGGGGTTACTCAGCCTGTGGGGTTGTGCTGCCCAGAAAACAAAACAAAACAAAAAACACCACCACCAGGCAGCAAATTCCTCCTTCCACTTCTGTGTCTGATGTATTGGGTGCCTTCTAAGCCCTAATGAGCCTCACTTTGTACAGTAAATTTCCTGAGACATAAAAAAGTATTTAAAAGAAAGTTTCCTGTTTTTTCCTAATGAGCAAGGTGAGGATTTATAGTGTGGGGAGGAGGGACTCCGGCAGCCGGGGCCAACACTGAGGCAAGCCTATTTAACATACCCTGGCTTAAGCTCCCTCCTGCGTTTGTGGGGTTCAGAGTGCTTAGTTGTGGGAGTATAGAGACATGCAGTTAGGGAGTGAAAAAACGCCATTTGGTTCGGAGCAGATGGCTGGCTAGGGGGCTGATGGCGTCTAAAGGCGTGTCGTCCCCTCCAGCTCGAATCCCTAAGGGCTCCCCTTGTCTTCCCAATCAATGAAAATTAAAGTGCAAAGAAAGGATGAATAGTTGGACCTCGAGTCTCTCCTTTGTTCATCCCAGCTACTGGTGCGCAGGAGTTAAACTACAACAGGCTCCTATAGAAACGCTGAAGTTAAACAGTCTCCCCGTTAGCACAGCTTTTTAAAGAGAGAGGGAGAGAGGAACCAACTTGGGGGTGGGGGGAGAGAAATGGGGGAGAGGAAGAAGGAGAAGAAGGAGGAGAAGGAAGAAGAGGAAGGAGGTGGAGTAGGAGAAAGAGGAGGAGGAGGAGGAAAAGAAAAAGGAGAACAGGAGGAGGAGGAAGGAGAGGGAGAAGAAGAAAAGGGCTTTCTGCTTGATTTCCCCAATACAGAATCGCGTGGCATAAATTAAGTTGGAAAAGAATGAACGCTTTGGGCAGGATTCTGATGGATTTTACGATGCCTTTCAGTTCCGCTTTGCCGCCGTAATCGAGAAATCTGTGCCATGTCAATTTAACAAATACTTGATACTGAGGGGGGTTTGTTAGAGATTTGGGGCAAGTCTTTTTCCCCCCAAGGTTTAAGCCCTTGCGCGTGGAACTTTTTATTTCCAGTTTTCTAAACAGGCATTCAAATGAGCCTGTTTTCCACTTCCATTTTCTAATTAAAAGGTTCCTGATATTTCATTTCTTACTGAAATCTACACTCAGTGTTGCAGGCAGAGGATTCTGGATTCTGACCTCGCATTCTCTTCTTTTTTTACATTTCTTCTGCTCCTGAAACCCTTTCACCTACCCTCACCCCCACCCCCAGCCCCCAGCACAGGGAACAGCTCCTGTGCCTTAGGGAAGCAGAATGCTCCGAAGTCAGCTTTTGGAGGAAACATCAACCTAGAGAAAAAAGGATCCTGACACTAGGTGGCAAGATTAAATTAGGATTTGAGCTGGCCCCTCCCTGTGGCGACAGCAAGTCCCTATAGAGTCCAAAAAGGACACCATCATGGGGGTGGCAGCATCTTCTGAAGCCTCCATTTGCTCTGAACCAAACAGTAGGGGGTTCACGGTGATCCCAGCCTGCCTTTCTCACCTGGCACTAAACATCATATGCTTGTTTCTTGTGGTTAACTCTTCGCTATTCCATGAGGCAACAGTGGAAAACCTAAAGTGGACATCTCTGTTGATCCTAAAACTTTACAGGTATTTGGGAAACAAGGTAGCAGGACACAGGCTGGGTCACTTGAAGAGGAGCCGCAGAGTAGCAATTCCAGCTGCGTAGCAGCCGGAGGGCCTGCCCTGGACGACTTCACCACGTGACCTTCAGATTTCTGGCTGCAGTGGTTGTCCTTGGTGTTTGAAGACTTTCCCTCTGCTTAGACACTTTGATCAAGACATTTGCCGGGATGAAAGTCTCGTTCTACCTTGACGGTGCCCTGTTCTCACCAATAAGGCAGCTCTAACACACCTACAGTGAGGACACTGTGGCCAGGCTGCTTCCTTGGGGCTGAGCTACAATCAAAGGGGGCACTCCAACACTCACCTGGAACCCTAATGAAGCTACGGAGGTGTTGGGGGTGGGCAGGGATCCACGGGCGGGATGGTAAAGAGAGGGAGAAGTGCAAAGCTAGGTGCCAGAGTAGGAGTCTCTGCCCCAACTTACTTCTCCATCGTGCCTAGGAGGGCAATTTAGATAATTCATTGTGTCATACGTGTGTTCTCGGCCCTCCCAATAAACTCATTTCCCTTTAAAAAATGAAAACAAAAGTTCTAGTGTCTGATGGACGTGTAAAAACCTAATAAGGTGACGGTTGTGTAAAGGTTGTGGGTTGGGGGCCGGGGCTGGAGGGGCTTTAGAACATGCGCCGGACATTGTTGCAGAGGCCGCGGCGCGCGCGGAGGGGAGCTCTTTCTCTCCGCATTGTGCGGGGAGCAGGTGCTGTCTGCATTACCATACAGCTGAGCGCACAAAGAGCCACTGATTCAGCCTCGCACAATAACAGGCTGCCTTAATGACAGCCACGCGAACGACACACACCAAACTCACTTCTTACCAGGCGGAGGGAGGCCGAGGGGGATACCCGGGAGAGAGGGGCCGAGACCCGGGGAAGGTGGCGGCGGCCGAGGATCCTGTGGGGGAGGGCGCGTGTCTGTGGGGGGAGTTGAAGGCCAGGTTCTCCTGGCTCCGGGGATATGCTGTCCGGCCCCCGGGCCCCTACTCCCAGTGGCCGCGGACCACGAGAGGACACCGAAGGCGCGGGGATGCGGGTGTCCCAGGGGGCGTCCCGGCCCCGCCCGCGCGTCGGCTCTGCACTCCCCGAGGCTCAGTCGCCGTCCTGGGCCAGGAGGTGTCCCCGCCTCGGACCTCCCCAAACTTCCCGAAACTGCCGCTTCGCTCTGGCAGCCCTCGGCCCACCGCTCCGCCCGCCCCTTTCCTACGATGCTCCCCGAATCGCCACCCCCGCCTCCGCCCCCAAGAGACTCCTCCTTAGGAAGCGCCTGCCCCGAAGAAGGGGCGGCCCCGCCAAGAGCTCGGGCCTCGAACTTCGTCCTCCTGCTCGCAGCCGCCCTCCCCAAGCCCCCGGGACGCTGTCGGCGCAAGGAGACCCCTCGGCTGCCGCCGCGGCCCGGAGTTTCGGAGGCCGCGTCCCGCCGCTCAAGTGGGGCCCGCAGCGCCGCCCCCCGCGTGTGGCCGAGGGTCTCTGGGCGTCTGTGGCCCGGGAGGGCGTGCGGAGGGGACGGGGCGGCGGCACCAGCTCCAGAAGCAGGGGGATTCTTGCGGTGAACATTTTGCAGGAATGTAAATGAGTGCGTTTTGTGTGGTGAGGGAGGAAGGGGGGGCTGGGGGCGGGGGCAGGGGAGGACTGGGGGGGCGGGGAAGGGTGGGGGCGGGGAGGAGGGTTGCACATTTTACAGCTCACTGACCATTTGGCGATCCATTGAGAGGAGGGTTTGGAAAAGTGGCTCCTTTGTGACAGCTCTCGCCAGATTGGGGGGCTGCTGATTTGCATCTCATTAGCCATGCGGGCGGCCGGCTGAATATAAGGGCGGCAGGCGCCGGCGAGAGCCAGATCCTCTGCGCGCACCCGCGGAGACCCGACCCGGCCGAGGGCAGAGCGCAGGGGAACCCGGGCAGCCGCGGCGCAGAGCCTCCTCCCACGGCCCGGCCCCTCCGGTCCTGCGCGTGTGTACTGGATGGCATTGGCTGGATTCATCGGAAAGACGCGGATCTTTGCTGTGACACCGGAGATCGGAGCCCGGAGTGCTCCCGGAACGACCGCCGCCGCCGAGTGACACCGGGCCGCGATCCGCAGGGGCCGCCGCGCACACCCGCCGCCGCCGACCGTCCCCTCAGCGCGCGCCGCTGGCCCCGGATTATCGCCTTGCCCGTGGGATTTCCAGACCGCGGCTTTCTAATCGGCTCGGGAGGAAGCTCTGCAGCTCTCTTGGGAATTAAGCTCAATCTCTGGACTCTCTCTCTTTCTCTTTCTCCCCCTCCCTCTCCTGCGAAGAAGCTCAAGACAAAACCAGGAAGCCGGCGACCCTCACCTCCTCGGGGGCTGGGAGGAAGGAGGAAAACGAAAGTCGCCGCCGCCGCGCTGTCCCCCGAGAGCTGCCTTTCCTCGGGCATCCCTGGGGCTGCCGCGGGACCTCGCAGGGCGGATATAAAGAACCGCGGCCTTGGGAAGAGGCGGAGACCGGCTTTTAAAGAAAGAAGTCCTGGGTCCTGCGGTCTGGGGCGAGGCAAGGGCGCTTTTCTGCCCACGCTCCCCGTGGCCCATCGATCCCCCGCGCGTCCGCCGCTGTTCTAAGGAGAGAAGTGGGGGCCCCCCAGGCTCGCGCGTGGAGCGAAGCAGCATGGGCAGTCGGTGCGCGCTGGCCCTGGCGGTGCTCTCGGCCTTGCTGTGTCAGGTAGGCGGGCAGGTGGGGGCGCCGCGGCCCCGCGGGGTCTCACGGGTAGCCGGGGCGCGGGGCAGGAGCGCGCGGGGAGGGGCGGACAGCGGCACGGGCCGCGCCAGCCACGGCCCGGAAGATGAATCCCGGGGGCGACGACCCCAGCGCCGGCCGTGCAGCGAGCGCGCTCGGCCCCTGAGCCCTTCCAGGCTCTCCGCACACCCCCCACCCAGGCCTCACGCCCCCTAGCTCGGGCGGGACCCGCGTCCTCACGCCCCCGCCCTCCCCCGTGCAGGTCTGGAGCTCTGGGGTGTTCGAACTGAAGCTGCAGGAGTTCGTCAACAAGAAGGGGCTGCTGGGGAACCGCAACTGCTGCCGCGGGGGCGCGGGGCCACCGCCGTGCGCCTGCCGGACCTTCTTCCGCGTGTGCCTCAAGCACTACCAGGCCAGCGTGTCCCCCGAGCCGCCCTGCACCTACGGCAGCGCCGTCACCCCCGTGCTGGGCGTCGACTCCTTCAGTCTGCCCGACGGCGGGGGCGCCGACTCCGCGTTCAGCAACCCCATCCGCTTCCCCTTCGGCTTCACCTGGCCGGTGAGTGCCGCACCTGCGCGCGCCGGGCCGGCCCTGAAGCTGGGCGGGCTGCAGGACGCGCTGGGATCCCGCCTTGGGCGCTCGGTGGCGGGACCTCGGGGACCCCGCGAGGCGCAGGTGGGCGCTGCGATCTGCCTAGCGGCGGCCCCAGGACTCCAGCCCAGCAGCGCGGACACCTCGCCCCGGGGCCCCGCGGCCTGCAGGAGGGGACCGCGCTGGGGCGAGGAGGAGAGGCCGAGCGCGCCCGGGAGATTTCCGTATCCGGCCTCTGTGCCAGGTCTCCAGTCAGAGGCGCCCCTTCACGTGGGAAGGTTCTGGTTTCCCGACTCCTAGACGCGTTGGTGGCGCGATTACCCGCGCAGCGCGACCGCTACCACCCGGAGCGTGCCCATCCCCCAAGAAAAATGACAAGGGCCCTCGGGCCTCTTCCACCCCATCCTGCCTGCATTCTCTCTCTCTCTCTAATTAAAAAAACAACGTAATATCCTGTAGTACAGGCTGAAAAAACACGTCAGGAAACCACTCTTTAAAAAGTTCTTCCATTTCCTTAGGGAAGGTGAGAGCAGGCAGGAGGTGCGTGGAGACCCTCTCCAGACACGCTGCCCCAGACCTGCAGCCTTCAGGCCTCTGTTGCTGACCTGGCTGTTAGGAATGACTGCTTTTTGCCGTTTTCTTTTCGTTACCTTTCTGGGTTGTCTAACGTCTTCTCCCCTCTCTCCCAGGGCACCTTCTCTCTGATTATTGAAGCTCTCCACACAGATTCTCCTGATGACCTCGCAACAGGTAAAAACAAAACCCAAACCCCAAAACTGCTTTCCCCAGTTAATAGCATTGGACTTTGCCCACCCATCCCCCAGCCAAACCCGGACAGCTTTCATTCTGCACGTGCCCCAGAAAGTTCAGGGTGGAGCAGCTTGGGCCTCCTTCCCGTGCTGAATGTCTCGGCCCACCCCCGCTCTGTCCCGAGTCACAGGGTTCTCGTTCAGAACCAACCAGGAGCATCTTCTCCCCGTAGAAAACCCAGAAAGACTCATCAGCCGCCTGGCCACCCAGAGGCACCTGACGGTGGGCGAGGAGTGGTCCCAGGACCTGCACAGCAGCGGCCGCACGGACCTCAAGTACTCCTACCGCTTCGTGTGTGACGAACACTACTACGGAGAGGGCTGCTCCGTTTTCTGCCGTCCCCGGGACGATGCCTTCGGCCACTTCACCTGTGGGGAGCGTGGGGAGAAAGTGTGCAACCCTGGCTGGAAAGGGCCCTACTGCACAGAGCGTGAGTCTCTGGGAAGGCACCGCTGGCTCACTCGTCCACGAACACGGACCGCGCGCAGGGACGGGGCTTCCTGAGCCACGGGGGGCTTGGGACTGTAGAGATGTTCTGGTGGGGAAACTGAGGCCCAGAGGACAGAAGTGGATTGCTATAAGTCACAGCTCGTCAGTGGGGGGGTTGGGGTCAACGCAGACATTTTAACATCCCAGGCTGTGTTTATCCACTATCGGAACTGCCTTTCTTAATCAGGGAGGATTTTAGAGACAGGGCCAGGGGTCAGGAAGTAAAGCCAGTGCTACCCCCAGGGTGTGTGTATTAGAGAGGGAGAGGAGGAAGGAAGGGAGGAACACAGAGAGAGCTTGTGTGTCAGGGGCACCATTTCAACCCGAGTTCCCAGTGCTGGAACAGCATCACACTGGGAAACGTTCCATTTTCTCTCTGGAGCTGGTGTGCTTGACCTCTCTGGAGCAAACGCCTTTCCGGATACTCCCTGTGACACGCACTGTCTATGCTGGCCAGAGAGCAGGCTTTCACTCCTGTGGGCTGCTGAGGCCAGGTCTCCAAGGCCTGTGTGGGCGAGGGGTGCACAGCCCCGTCTGGCTTGAATGCTCAGGCAGCACCTTGTCTGGAGAAGCAATGTCTTCCCAATAGTGACAGAGGCTCTACCTGCCTCTTATTAGGTATTGATGTGTCAATGTCATGGCAGGCAGGTGACTAGGGCAGGGTTGGGGCCGTGCTGGCTCCTGGTTCTGGCTCATGGGGACCTCAGGAGCCCTCTCTCCAGCTGACTGAGGCCTCGCCTGCACGCCTGGCCGTCCCAGCCCATTGGTACCGGATTTCTCTACAGCTGGGGATTGGGTAGGTCCTGGAGCTGCCCAGAAACTCCAGGGAACTGTCATTCTCCTTCCTTGGAACTGGACAACCTTGGAGAGGGGCTCTGGGAGGCCCAGAACCTCTGGCAGGAGCTGGGTAGTGCCTGGGGTTGAGGGTGGGTCTTCCCATTCACTGAGTGCCTTGATGTCCTTGCTCCTTAGCTTCCCAAATTCCCTCCGGAACTTACTGAGCTCCTTCTAAGCTTTGCCTTGGCCTGAACTGGTTCTGGGGAAAAACAAAAAAACAAAAAACAACTTGTGGAGCTGCTTGTTAATGAGTTTCATAACCAGGCAGCAAGAGCCAGCTCCAAGCCTCAAGCCCACTGTCTACTCCCTGCCCTGCGGGAGCCTCTGGCCAGTCTGCTGCCTCCCACCCTTCCTCCCTGCCTCTCTTCACCACAGGGTAGCCAGAAACTTAAACTTTTTTCTTCAAACACTGAAGTCTCTCCCCGCCCCCAGCTCGCGCGTGCCATAGATTAGATCTCTCCGGGGATAGGCGCAGGGACACCCGCCGGCTCCCATTGGCGGAAGGGGTGCGTGTGCGTGTGTGTGTGTGTGTGTGTGTGTACACGCGAGGGGTGTGTGTGAGGAGGTGGGGCCGGGGGCGCGGGGGAGGCCGGCATTGTTGCGCTGGGGCAGCTGCCGTGGAGGACAGACAATGGAGCAGCTGTCCTGCCCTGGCACCCTGCATACCAGCTGTCCACTCTTATCTGCACACACACTTTCTGGGATATTAAGAGGTGGAGCTTTGTGCACAGAATTGGGAAGTGGGGGAGGAGGAGGGGGAAGACTTCTGACCCTCTCTTAGAAGAAAAGGGGATAGGGTGGGGGTGGGGGCTTCCGAGAGCCCTTTTGTCCTTGAGCCCCTGTGTTAAGAAGAATGCTCATCCCCAGGGCTGAGTCAAGTCCCAGGCTACTAGGCAGGGGGGTCAGTCCTCCACAACCTGGGAAGATTAACTCAGCTGGGATTTGCTGACTGAAGCCGGCGAGTTGTGTCCTGGCCCCAAGGGCGGCAGCCCTGTTGGGACGTACTTGGCGTGGGGCTTGACCCTGTTTTTCCTTTGCTTGTAGCGATCTGCCTGCCTGGATGTGATGAGCAGCATGGATTTTGTGACAAACCAGGGGAATGCAAGTAAGTCTGCACAAGGTGGTGTTTTGTTTTGTTGCCTTTTCTTGTTATCTTTTCACAGCTGGTGTATTTGTAAAAACAGCCCTAGGTGATCATTCGAAAAACTCCAGTAAGATTGATTGAACAGGGGGCCGTTTTCTCATGTTTCTACTTAATCAATGTTTGGCAGCATGTAAGGTCATGGAGTTGTCATTCGTCTAAGCCCCTTAACGGCTATGAGAATTTACAGATAGTAGTTTAAAAAGAGTTGGCACAGGAAATGATAGTATAGTTCAATGGTTCTCAAATGTTGCCTCATCCTAGAATCACTCAGGGAGTGATTTTTGAGATGCTGACACTGGTGCTGCCCTAACACCCAAGAAGCCAGAACCTCTGGTGGGGCCCAGGCCCAGGCTGCAGCTCCCAAGGTGACCCAGTGTTCTGCTAATCTGGAGAACCAGAGGCTCACTGGTGCTGCGGGAAGATGGTTTCTAGGGTGAGAATGTCCACTGCAAAGCCAGCAACAGTCAACGTCCATCTGAGTCTTCTGCTTTTCTCCAAGGTGCAGAGTGGGCTGGCAGGGCCGGTACTGTGACGAGTGTATCCGCTATCCAGGCTGTCTCCATGGCACCTGCCAGCAGCCCTGGCAGTGCAACTGCCAGGAAGGCTGGGGGGGCCTTTTCTGCAACCAGGGTAAGCCTTCTCTCCCTGAGGCAGCCTGCTCCCTCCAGAGCAGCCCTGGACTTCCCTGGCTGTTTGATCACTGGAAAAATAAAGTCTTCCTGCATTTGATGTCGAGCTTCCTATCTCCTACTTTTCCTGTCCCCACCCTTCACAGACCTGAACTACTGCACACACCATAAGCCCTGCAAGAATGGAGCCACCTGCACCAACACGGGCCAGGGGAGCTACACTTGCTCTTGCCGGCCTGGGTACACAGGTGCCACCTGCGAGCTGGGGATTGACGAGTGTGACCCCAGCCCTTGTAAGAACGGAGGGAGCTGCACGGTGAGTCGGAGGCTCCATGGCATCTCACCCGGAAGCTGGGGTGCCCTGGTGTTGAATGGAGTGTGTGGGCTCCTTGGAGCAACTTTGGAAAGCCTTTTCTGACCTCTCCATCGTGTAGGATCTCGAGAACAGCTACTCCTGTACCTGCCCACCCGGCTTCTACGGCAAAATCTGTGAATTGAGTGCCATGACCTGTGCGGACGGCCCTTGCTTTAACGGGGGTCGGTGCTCAGACAGCCCCGATGGAGGGTACAGCTGCCGCTGCCCCGTGGGCTACTCCGGCTTCAACTGTGAGAAGAAAATTGACTACTGCAGCTCTTCACCCTGTTCTAATGGTAAGGGGGCAGCTGGTGATTGCTCAGAGACTCGGGCGAGCGGTCAATACTGAGGTGGCATTAAAAACAAGCATTTGTGAGTGACCTCGAGTTTATGAATCACTTTTATCCAGACCGCCAGGAATTCTCGATGGAAACTCTATCTTTGAGTCTGGAAAGGCCTGGGGAATGAGAGAGGCCAGGGCATTTGTTATGAAGTTCTCTGTGGAAACCTAGACCAAGCAGTGAATGACTTGCTCAGGGCCACAAGGTGCTTCGGGCACCTGCGGCCGCCTGAGGTTCAGTAAGTGATGCCCACAGGTGCCGGCCACTCCAGCTTGGGAGGATGGCCCAGCTGTGTGGCCACCCAGCACAGTAGTTGGGGGTGTCCCTGAGTGAGGACAGAGAGCCTCCTGCTAGCAGCGAGGGGCTGGCTGCCCAAAGGAGACACACAGCAAGGAGAGCTGGGCCCCAGATGTGCCGGAGCATTCCGGAATGGTCATCCTTCCCCTCCCTCCCTCCCCTGTTGTCAGTGCCTGCTCCTCTCACTTGCTGTGTAACTGTGGGCAAGGACACCCTCGTTAAGCCTCAGTTTCCCCATCTGAAACCTGGGTCGAGTGGCACATGCTCTTGCCCGGCTGTTGTGGCGACTAATGCAGCCACCAGAGTGTTCTGCACAGCGCCTGTCCAGATGCTGGCCGTGTGGTTTCTGACTTGTAGAGCTAGACCTGGACACCTCTCGTATTTGAGGTCCTAAACCATGTCACCTTGCGCTGTGGACTCATTCAGGCCACAGACTGTCTTTGGTTTGTCTGGTTTCTACAGTGTCAGACAGATAGATGCTTCAGAGTGACTTTTTGGTGAACAAACCTACGAGGAGACACGTGATGTTCATGTCCCTGTGTTCCAGGTGCCAAGTGTGTGGACCTCGGTGATGCCTACCTGTGCCGCTGCCAGGCCGGCTTCTCGGGGAGGCACTGTGACGACAACGTGGACGACTGCGCCTCCTCCCCGTGCGCCAACGGGGGCACCTGCCGGGATGGCGTGAACGACTTCTCCTGCACCTGCCCGCCTGGCTACACGGGCAGGAACTGCAGTGCCCCCGTCAGCAGGTGCGAGCACGCACCCTGCCACAATGGGGCCACCTGCCACGAGAGGGGCCACCGCTATGTGTGCGAGTGTGCCCGAGGCTACGGGGGTCCCAACTGCCAGTTCCTGCTCCCCGAGCTGCCCCCGGGCCCAGCGGTGGTGGACCTCACTGAGAAGCTAGAGGGCCAGGGCGGGCCATTCCCCTGGGTGGCCGTGTGCGCCGGGGTCATCCTTGTCCTCATGCTGCTGCTGGGCTGTGCCGCTGTGGTGGTCTGCGTCCGGCTGAGGCTGCAGAAGCACCGGCCCCCAGCCGACCCCTGCCGGGGGGAGACGGAGACCATGAACAACCTGGCCAACTGCCAGCGTGAGAAGGACATCTCAGTCAGCATCATCGGGGCCACGCAGATCAAGAACACCAACAAGAAGGCGGACTTCCACGGGGACCACAGCGCCGACAAGAATGGCTTCAAGGCCCGCTACCCAGCGGTGGACTATAACCTCGTGCAGGACCTCAAGGGTGACGACACCGCCGTCAGGGACGCGCACAGCAAGCGTGACACCAAGTGCCAGCCCCAGGGCTCCTCAGGGGAGGAGAAGGGGACCCCGACCACACTCAGGGGGTGCGTGCTGCGGGCCGGGCATCAGGAGGGGGTACCTGGGGGGTGTCTTCCTGGAACCACTGCTCCGTTTCTCTTCCCAAATGTTCTCATGCATTCATTGTGGATTTTCTCTATTTTCCTTTTAGTGGAGAAGCATCTGAAAGAAAAAGGCCGGACTCGGGCTGTTCAACTTCAAAAGACACCAAGTACCAGTCGGTGTACGTCATATCCGAGGAGAAGGATGAGTGCGTCATAGCAACTGAGGTCAGTGCAGGCAGCAGCCGCTCCCTCCTCCTCGGCATGGGAGCACCTGAAGCTGGAGCACGGGAATCGGTCTCAGGCTAACTTCCCATTTGTCTTGTGGCCCCCCAGGTGTAAAATGGAAGTGAGATGGCAAGACTCCCGTTTCTCTTAAAATAAGTAAAATTCCAAGGATATATGCCCCAACGAATGCTGCTGAAGAGGAGGGAGGCCTCGTGGACTGCTGCTGAGAAACCGAGTTCAGACCGAGCAGGTTCTCCTCCTGAGGTCCTCGACGCCTGCCGACAGCCTGTCGCGGCCCGGCCGCCTGCGGCACTGCCTTCCGTGACGTCGCCGTTGCACTATGGACAGTTGCTCTTAAGAGAATATATATTTAAATGGGTGAACTGAATTACGCATAAGAAGCATGCACTGCCTGAGTGTATATTTTGGATTCTTATGAGCCAGTCTTTTCTTGAATTAGAAACACAAACACTGCCTTTATTGTCCTTTTTGATACGAAGATGTGCTTTTTCTAGATGGAAAAGATGTGTGTTATTTTTTGGATTTGTAAAAATATTTTTCATGATATCTGTAAAGCTTGAGTATTTTGTGATGTTCGTTTTTTATAATTTAAATTTTGGTAAATATGTACAAAGGCACTTCGGGTCTATGTGACTATATTTTTTTGTATATAAATGTATTTATGGAATATTGTGCAAATGTTATTTGAGTTTTTTACTGTTTTGTTAATGAAGAAATTCCTTTTTAAAATATTTTTCCAAAATAAATTTTATGAATGACAACCAGAAGGCGTAGTTACTTGGCTTTGCCTTAGAGCGGAGGTGTGCTCACTCACCTGCGGCCCGCGAGGCTGAGGGCAGAGGTGGCCTTGGTGTTTCTCTTTTCAAGGCTTTGGTTTCCCTGGATCCATGAGAAGCAGCCCGTTCCTCTCCTCCCTCAGGAAGCTGCTTGCTGGCCATCATGAGGTGACTTGGTAAGAGCAGGCACGCGCATGAAGCAGCCGCGATTTTCTAATTCCATCCCCCCATGCATTTATTAGTTCTTTCCGCAGAAAGAATGAGCGTTCCTCATTCATTCATTCATTCATTCATTCATTCATTCATTCATGTCAGTGTAGACTTGTGAGTTATTTTGTACCCAGTGGGTCACAGCTGTCATGATTTTGTCGCCGTTTGACGCCAACATGGCCCCAGACGGGGCGTGGGAGTCACGGAAGCTGCTCCTCCGCTTCCCGTCGGTGGGCAGCCCCGTCTCTAAGCGCGTCCCGCCTGCTGGCTCAGCAGGACCGCACGGGCTCCCTGTGGGCTGACCCCTCATTTGCCGCTTTGCCCCCCGCTAAGCCCGGGTTCCTTATGGTAGTGATTGCATTTTTAACTTGCGCGTACCTCAAAGCGCTGAGCGGTTCCCAGGATGGAAAGAGGGCGACCGATGTAGCAGGAGCTGCGCGGAGGCACTGGCGCTCACTCCCCTCAGACCCGACTCCGCTTGCATTTCCTCCTTGCATTAAGGGCACGTTAAATGCCAGGCCAGCAACACCAGCAAAGAGGAGAAGTGTTTTGCTAAGAACATTGAGCTTGAATCCGATGACAGCTCTCAGTCTCATTACCAGTTACGGAAACACGGGACTGAAAACTCCTTCCTCGACGCCCCACGCATCTGCGCAGCCGAATCCAGGGAACTCTGTAGCCAAATAAATTGCAAGGAAAAAACAAGAAAATGGTGAGGGGGAACCCATAGATACAAAGAGACACGGACATATCAATCCATCGCAGCGTCTGGATCTGGTTCCTGTTTCAAACAGTTTAAAAATTTTATGAACCCACTGGAGACATGTAAGCGCTGACTGGGATATCCACATGATTTTAAAGTGCACCTGCTAAATAGTTTAGATGTGATGTGTTATTACTGTTCAGTTTAAAAAGAGACCTTATCTTTTAGAGAAAATTCTGAAATATTTATGGATGAAACAATACGAGGCCTGGGACTGATTCGGAGCCCCCCGCCGCGGGCACGGTGGCACGGGGAGTCCCACGAGCACTGCTGGGGGTCGCTGCAGCTGGGAGTGGCCCATGGGGGCGCTCACTTCCGTGTTCTTTCCTCTTTCGTACACGTTTGAAACTTCCCATAAGCAAAAGCATTAAGCCGGACCATACAGTGAATACACGCACACGCAAACACGACAGTTTCCGGGTGTGTATGGACCGCCGTGTCTGTGACGTGACCCACAGCAGAATGCATCTGAGGGAGGCTTGCTGTGGTTGCATACGCACATCGCAGATGAGAAATCTTACAAGGCCAAAAGCAAGCCAATTAAACTGGGTGGAGAGCGGGAGTCCGGTCAAGGACGCTGGTAGCAGAGTCTCAGGCTCGCTGGTGGCGCGCCTAGGTGATTGCCCACTCTGCTGAGTCCTTGAAAGGGAAACGGCAGCGTCTGCAGCAGTGCTGGGAGCACCTCCTCCCGTCTGCAGGGGACGGTGCCTTTCAGGGCACGGTTCTGCGCATGTGCTCAGCTGGCGCCAGCGAACGGCTTCCGGCTGCTCTTAGCGTGGAGTTCAAAATCCTTGACTTGGCCTCTCAGGTCATGCACCATCCGGCTCCCGCCTGTCTTGGAGCCTCGTTTCGTTATTCTCCCACGGGTCTGTTACCGCTCGGCTCCAGCCAGCGCCCTGGCAGCCTGGTTCTCCATCCGCCCCCACTCTGCGACTTTGAGTGGGATCTTCCATCTGTCTGGTGACTTCCAGTGTGACCTTCTTCCGCCACGAAAATGACCCGCCTGGGTTACCTGCCGCACGTGATGGTGCTCTTGCAGTTTGCCCTGTGGCATGATTAATTCGTGTAGCTGTTTGTTTAGTGGGCGTGTGTCCCAGGAGACTGCAACCTCAAAGAGGGCGGGCTGTGTTGGCCCTGGTTCACCACTGCAACCCAATCCCCACTTGAGGCTGAAGCAAGAAAACGTTCTCTATCCATGTGAGCTATAATTTGAGAACACACAGACACACACTCAGGACATTTCATCATGAAAGAAGCTTCATTCTCGTGTTCACTCTTACCAATGTCACTAGGAGTTTCGAACCATAACATGAAGCCAAACACAGGGATTATCTGAGCGGATGAACATAGTATTCTGTTTTTATTCTAATAACTGGCTGCCTAGATACAGCCCTGTATATGGTAAGAGTGCGTCTACTTGGTATCCAGCAAACAAAGTGTTATGCATTAGTAATTCCTCAGTCCATGCATTTTACAGAAAAGGCAGAGGGAAGGTAAATCGTTTCCTGAGGAACAGCTGAATGTCTAGAAACGTCAAGATGAAGAGTAGAATTTTGCATGCAAGGACACGCGCCATGAGCACCAGGCCTCACACGCAGGAGGCACACAGTACGTCTGTGTTGAATGTAGTATCTTCCACTACAAGGATAAGGAAACAAAAAGTACTTAGAAACTTTACACATTTGTCATTTGGAAACAATTCAGAGATAAGTTTTTAAGATGATATGTATTAGTGCAGAGTACTAGAATTTTTCCGGAACAACTTTCATTACATTTATTTGCTCAAACAAGTGACTATTTCCATTTTGGAGAAGCCCAACTGAGCTAAATCACTTTGCCACTGAGGAGGGCTGGGGAGGTGGCAGGGGTGCCATCAAGGTGTCGTCTGGCTAACACACATTCTTTCTATTTTTCTTGTTTCTTATGGAAACATTCATGGCTCCACGCCTGGCATTTGCTGAATCCATCTTCTAGAGATTACGATTTTAATAGAATCCGGAGTGAGGTACCTGAGGAAGGCAGAATGAAGCAGCATTTTAAAATGTATTGCAACATGAGCATCAGAACCTTTTGTTTTTTTTAAAGCACAGAAAAGAAAAATGACAAGACTCATGTCATTAATTACGTTCTCAAAGAAAATAAGGTCAGTGTAAGAGGAAATCATCTAAAATTGCAGGACAGGGCATTCTCGTTGGATCGAGGCATGAAGAAAACTTCAAGGCTGTCAGTGGTTTATCGAGGAAGTGGTAGAATCTTCCTCGGATACGATTTTTAGAAGACAAGCCAACCTTCCATGGCAAGAGGTGCAGACGTGTGCCTCAGCTGCCAAGGGCCTCCCAGGCTGTTTCCTGTGCACCAACTTCCTCTGCTTCCTCGGTGTCTAAACCCATGGTCAAAGCACCATTCACGAAAAGCATGTTACTGTTTTAAGTTAATTTGAACTTTAAAATTATTGAACCATAAGGAAAAATATCTCTGCTTTGTGGTCCTGGATATTTTACAAGAACCTTGATTCCTTTAGTGAATCTTAATTCACAGCTCAGTGCTGGGATATTCAACAAATAAAATCACTTTTCAGAGACAGGATCAGAATCTGCTACTTCCTGCTCCTCAGCCTGCCTTGCCAAACCCCCAAGTGGCACCCTGGTGTAGACATTATGGACCTCAACAGCAGTACTTTAGCCTGATGCCTAGAACCTCTTACACTTTTATGGAAGTGGCCTAAGAGTGTTTGTGACGGGATTCGTGGTGTCTCCAACTTTCTCTCTTGCGCTGTCCCACCCTGACCTGTGGGGGGAGAGAGGAAGGAAGGAAGAAGGGGGGAAGGGCGTCTGGTGTCAGACGCTTACAATAGGAATTGCTCACCTGCAGAAGGGCAAGTATTGTTTCTTCTAGAATTAGTATGAATTGGATTTTGTGAATTTCAGCTCTTTCTTAGAAGCTTAGAAAAAAATTTGGTATAAACATTTGAAATAAAAAAATGCAATAAGCAACAGAGTTAGATCTTGTCTCTACAAAAAAATTTTAAAAGAATTAGCTGAGTGTGCTGGTGGCACCTGTGGTCCCAACTACTCAGGAGGCTGAGGCAGGAGGACGGCTTGAGCCCAGGAGGCCGAGGCTTCAGTGAGCTGTGATTGCGCCACTGCACTCCAGCCTGGGGGACAGAGCAAGACTTCATCTTAAAAAAAAAAAAAAAAGCAATATTAAAAAGGTGTATTGAAAAGGGAAAAACACTCTAAATTTGAGAGTTTTAGTTAAAATGAAAAAGCAACAGTTAGGACCATTTCTGATCCTCAAAGTCAATACTTTTGAAACAGGAGAGGGAAGGGAGGTGGGGGAGCCCTGGAGCTGCTCCCAACGAGTGGGGCAGGGGCCTCAGACGCAGGCTCTAGAGCCCAGGCTGGACCTGGCAGAGGACAGTTCAGTGTCTCTGTAGTCAAACAGGTGTCAGAAATATCATGAAACCCCCAGTTTATTCGTCATGATTACACTCTAGCCCTGACTGGGTTTTTTGCTCATTTTTTGCTCAGTAGCTTAAAGTTAATGTTGAAAATGTCAAAGAGGCCTGCAGATACCCCTAGAGAGACAGCAGTTTGTTAAAGGGGATAAAGGGGAAGTGTTTATGTTTATAGCACAGAAAGTCAAGCTGTTAGAGAAACTGGACAATGGTGTAAATGTGAAATGTCACATTTGCCACCACAAATGGTGGCAGGAAGGTGAGGAAGAGAAAGAAATAAAAATACTTGAGATGAGGCCCGAAATGGAAAATGGAATTAATCATCCCATTGCTCTAAATGCTCTAAGTGCGCTAAAAGCATTTCTTTTTTTCTTTTTTTGAGACGGAGTCTCGCTCTGTCGCCCAGGCTGGAGTGCAGGGGCGCGATCTCGACTCACTGCAAGCTCCGCGTCCCGGGTTCACGCCATTCTCCTGCCTCAGCCTCCCGAGCAGCTGGGACCACAGGCGCCCGCCACCACACCCCGCTAATTTTTTGTATTTTTAGTAGAGACTGGGTTTCACCGTGTTAGCCAGGATGGTCTCGGCCTCCCAAAGTGCTGCGATTGCAGGCGTGAAACACCGCGCCCGGCCAAGCCCTTCTCATCTTAACGTCCTCTTTCAGCAGAAGGAACTTATCCTGGTCCTAACTGTTGAGGTCACTGCTGACTCTGCCCCCGGCTCCAACGGTACAAAGTCACCTCCAATTTAAAGATGCTACAGAGGACCCCGTCCGCACGTGAGCTCCCCGGAGTGATGGAGGGGAAAGGGCTGCCTTCCCATTGCCGTGCGTGGAGAGCAGCAGAGACTGTGTTTGGACTCCTGCCACGGAAAAGGCTGCGTTGGCCGTGTCTCCAGGGAGGACAAACTAATTTTAACAAACTGACCCAAACAGGACTCGGAAGGTCAGTATGTTGCAATCTCCGGTCCTCCTGCCTGCTTCGTGGTTCGTTCCAAAAGCTAAGTATGCTGTTTCAATTTGATCTGCTATTTCGGGTGATCTAGTCCCTGTTAGTTCTTGACAGTCCAGGAGGCGCCTGGTGGGTGGAGAATCTTCCCCTTTCTCCTCCACAAACCTGACCCTTGTGGAGAAGGCAGCCTGGAATCCCCTGGGTTCTGAATGTCTCCGCCTTTTCTCCAGCGCAAGCGCTGGGCCTGAGCACAGTCTCCGCACAGAGGCCTGCGGTGTCGCGGGGGTGGTGAGCCCTGGCTCGTCCCTGAGGCTGAAATCTGGCTTTTGGGCTGGGGGTTCTGCCTCTCACTGCCTTTGGCCACAGCTCTCTCCTCCACCCTGAAAGGCCCTCGGAGTGGAGTTGGGAATACAGTAGTGACAACGCGGGCTCCAGGGAAAACGTGCTTGTGATGTGGTGCCCACGAGCTTGTTTTCCAGACTTGGCTCTACTGAGCAGCCCTGGAAGTTGAATCTTCACGTTGTCCAATGAGACATAAAGACTGGAAAGAGTCTTTCCATCTCTGACATACCCAGCACCGAGCTTCCCTCTTTTTTTTTCGAGACAGGGTCTTACTCCTTTTGCTCAGGCTGGGGTGCAGTGGCACAATCTCAGCTCACTGCAGCCTTGAACTCCTAGACTCAAGGGATCCTCCCACCTCAACCTCCTGAGTAGCTGAAACCACAGGAATGTGCCACCACCATGCCCAGCTAATTTTTGTATTTTTTGGAGAGATGGGGTTTTGCCATGTTGCCCAGGCTAGTCTCAAACTCCTGGGCTCAAGTGAGCCTCCCATCTTGACCACCCAAAGACTGAGCTTATAGTTGAGAGCCACTGTGCTGGCCCAGGCTTCCCTCATTTATAAGGTGGGGCCAGGTGTCTTATGGCAGACTGGATAAATATCCATGTCATTTACTGTGTGTGTGTCTGTGTGTGTGTATGGTGGGGGTAGTAAGTTTGAAGGTAGGGGCTGTACTGTTTCTCCCTTTTCATCTTTTTTTCCTTTCTACTCCCTCTTGAAGAACATGAGAATTTGGGTAACAAAATGCCTCTTCATTACAGGGATACTTTGATGTTAAAACCCTAGGGTGAAATGAAATGGACTTAACAAATGCCTGCCTGCCTATCTTTTTTGTGGGGTCTAACTTGTACCTGCTTATTCTTTGGAAACCTCTATTTCTTTTAGGTGCATCCCACGGACTCATTTAAATGTTCCCTGAGTGCTTCGTCTGTGCCGCACGTTGCTCTGCGTGGTGGAGATAAATGAGGAGTAGAAGCTGCGCCTGGCCTGAAGGCACCCCAGGTCACTCTTGGGGAAACACAGTGCCCATCGCTGATGCTCACCAAGGTTCCGGTCCTGCGGACAAGCCCCTGCCATGCACCTGATCGTGGATCTGGCCTCTGTGACCGGCTCTGGAAGTTCCCATGAATGGACTCTTCCTCGGCATGCTTCCGGGTGGCATCCGTTCTTTCCCCGCGTATTGCTTAGGGGTTCTATGAGAATTTCTCTGAGGGAGCCCTGGGGTGAGGAGGCCGCAGGGACCCAGCTTTCAAGCGGCAAAGGCCAGCGGCTTCTCCGCACAGCCTGTCCCTGCGTCCTCAGGCTGACGCAGTTTCTGTAAAGGGTCACCCTGACGGATGCTAACAGCGGCTTCTCCGCACAGCCTGTCCCTGCGTCCTCAGGCTGACGCAGTTTCTGTAAAGGGTCACCCTGGCAGATGCTAACAGCGGCTTCTCCCGCGCAGCCTTTCCCTGCGTCCTCAGGCTGACGCAGGTTCTGCAAAGGGTCACCCTGACGGATGCTAACACTTTTTATTGGCTTCCTCTCCTCCCTGCCTTCCCTTCCTGTGCCCACATCTGTCTCTGGGGCTGGCAGGACGTCAGGCTGCTCCTCCGTCTGGTTAAAGCTGGGCCCAGTTGCTGGATGTGGGGCTCTGCTGGGAAGCTTGGAGACAGGGTGGGGACCGCAGGGAGGCAGCTCCCTTCTGGTTTGCCAGAGGGACCAGGAAGCAGCACCCACAACCCCTGCCTACCCCATGGCTTATTTGTCTGATTAACTCGTCATCATCTGCTGAAACCTAGAACGGGGTCTTAGGGTGATTGATTGCTTAGGAACAGGCAGGGGAGGGGGCTCAGGGCACCAAGGGGCTGCAGGACTTGAGTCAGGGTCAGGCTGTGGGATGGGTAGAATAAGCGGAATTATACAATCCTGGACCACTGGTAATACCAAGGACCTGTGTGTACCTGCTCCCCACCCCACACACCTTCCTTGGTGTTGTGGTAGAAATAGAAGCAGAACTACGAAGTTTCTTCCTTCAGTACAAGCCACAGCGGTTCTGGATACAATTTCTAACCCACCCCTCCTTGCACGGCACTGCCTTTCCTTCCTGCCTGATCCCTGGGCCCAAAACCCTCGTGACTTTTTTAAGTCATATATACACCGGTTCAGAAAGACGTCTGGCTGAAAGAAGAGAGTTATGCCCTGATTCATTTTCACCTTAATTCAATTTAAATCAAAGCAATCGTGAGCTGCTGTTCTCCATGGCGACGGCTCATCGTAGCTGTGGAACTCCACACACCTCACCTGGGGCAGCTGGTGCTCAGAAGGCAGATGGGAGGTCAGGTGCCCCTCGGAAGCCACAGCTGGCCACCCCTCGGAATGCTTGCTCCTAATTCTGCATCCTCTGCTTATTTAAGAGAACAATGTTACAAACCCATGCTGAGACATCCACCTTTTCCCCCGTGGATCTTAGGGTGTGGGGCCACTCCAGGGCTTACTGCTGCGGTGGCAAACCCTGGAAGACAGTGGGATCTCACTGAGACAGGCCCTCTGCGCCCCCACCTTGGCTCCGGAAGATGCCTTTGTACTTGTGCTTGCCTCCCACTTGCACGAGGTTCTGAGCCCTTCTCTCCATCAAACCAAAGTGGTAGCATGCAGCTGGGCTGTTGGCAGCAGTGCTCAGTGATGGGAGAGCTTAGGGAACATTCGCTGAAAGAGAGAGATGAATGAAGATTCTTGAACGTGGAAGGCTGTGATTTTGTCAGACAAGAACACCATGTGGGAAATTAGGGCCCAGAAGACTTGTTCCCAGTTGGACCAGGCTTATTCGACAGTCACCCAGGACCTGGTCGCCTCTTCTTGTGGGTTGAGAAGATCTTGCCTCTCAAAGGGAGTAAAACTGAAGCACCCTCCTCACTGGAATACCAGGTGAGAAAGGCCAGTGAGACAGATGCCAGGGCCCTGGCAAGGCGGGTGCGAGGCCCCCCCCCCAGTTCAGGAGGAGCCAAAGGAAGCGCGTTGGGCTGGGGCCTGGTGTCCGTCGCCCATCGGGGGCTTGCACAGCGCTGCGGCTCGGCGGCGGGAACCTCGGTGCCGTTCACTCCTTGCGGTGGGGGAACGGAGCCCTCGTTCCACAGGCCCTCGGCCTTCCCCACTGGTGAACTCGAGCTGAGCTGTGGGGGCAGAGGGGGCAGCAGCCCCTCCGTGGAAGCTCAGCATCCACAGGGCACCTGCAGCAAGGGAGGCAGAGCTGGGCAATATCCACGCAGCGTGAAGGCATTTAGCAATCAGTCGGAAACTAAACTCAATACGATGCCTCAGAAGACTGGTGATTCGCCCCGATTAGACGGACCAGTCCTTACAAATTGCCTTTTCATGTTGTGCTGTAAATAACCAACGTATGTAATAACATTATCATACCCCAGATAGAAGATTCCAGGGGGAGAGACTCAAAGCTGCAGGTTGACAGTTGCCCAGAGCCCGAGGGGAGGTGACCAGTTTTGCTCCCAGCTGTCACTGGGCTGGTCCCTCCCTGCGCACGGAAGACGAGAGGAGGCGAAGCTGCGGGAGCACCTCCTGAGAAGGCGCCACATGGCTCCCGTGGCTTCTCCGGCCCCAGCTCACCTCTAACCCAACCCTGTGCGGCCAGGGCAGGGGCGTCCTCTCCCCCCGCAGCCCCGAGGGTCCCTGTCGCTGGCCGGGCACCAGAGAGGCTTTGTGATCGTCCCCAGC